>NC_000004.12:179224411-179527441 GCF_000001405.40 Homo sapiens
GCCAGTGTTTCTCTCACAGCCTGCACCTGTGGTCATCTATGGGTGATCCCTACAACCAGCTGACAGAAGAGGAGCTTGGTCTATGGATGTGTCATTTCAGTACATGGCTTTAAGCAGAAAATGGACTGCAGCTGCATTACAGACTAACACTAGGATGGTGAGGGAAAATCTTCCCAATAGTTAGAGATGCGTGCCAAGAACCTGATCATCCATGTTGTGTAGACAGAAAAGCTGCATTACATTTGGATATTTATAGCCTCCTCTGTAGTTGCTAATGAGCAGGCTTTCTTCTCAGGGGCCTCCTGGAAGGAAGAAGATCAGAAGATTGGGAACAAGGCAGTTTGGGTCTAGAGACACAACTATAAATGGAATGGGAGTGGGTAACTAGCATAAAAAAACTTTGTATCATCTTTGAGTGTCCACTGAATAACAGTCATTATGTAAGAGGCAATAAACAACAAATTCAATAAAATGAATCAGCTTGCTGATATCAGTCAGCCTTTATCTTTGGCTGCCCAGTGCTGTGCTGGCACCATGATACATAAACAAAGCATCCATGATAGCAGACATAGAAACTATGCATGTATCTTGTAGTATGTGCTTGCATTTTCAGATTGAATTTTCAGCCTATTAGCAGCAGAGACCAAGGCTGAGCCCTGATTTTGTTTAATTCCTCTAAGAGACCATTCAGTCACCTGGCGACCAGTTGACCACACTGCATTCCTTCCACCCTAGAAGGATCAGTAATTAATTCTGATAGGAGTAAATACATATTTGGAGTAAAGATTTTCTTTCCTGCCTTGAAGACCTAGCCAGCACAATTATCTGATGGTTTTTCCAAGTATTTAATAAACTGGCAAAAGTTACCACCTAACATTGCATCAGGCCAGAGGAATACCTTGCTGCAAAGAATGTGTGGGAATGGGCCATGATCTAGAAGTGGCCAGACTGATAGAATTTTGGAAACACCTGGTAATGGCGCAGCTAAACTATGAACTTGGAAGAGATATTTTATGAGGATGTGTGAAATAACAAATGATTCAATATGTACTTAGAATCGATAAATTTCAAACGGTTTATTTTCTCCAGTAGGAAGATGACTCAAGTTCAGGAAACAAGAGGGAACACAGCAATAGCCCTGTTAACCGTCACTCTCAATCATCCACTGGAACTCTTTCGCTTTAACCATCTCCACAACTCTGGGTTTTGCATGATTAGATGTCTAGGTCCCCAAGGACCTAGATACTTCCCACGGGGAACATATTAGGAGTCTTAATTAACTATAAACTATGACTGCCTCCTTGCACTTGCGGTAAATGATCTGGAGTCAAGAAAATGAGTCATCATCTCTATGCAGATAGGACTGCTGTTGCACACTTAAAGAAGAGACGAATGTAGGGCACTCAAATTGTCTACTGGGGCAGCTCCTGGTACTCTCTCGTTCAGCTTTGACCACAAATGGATATGTGTACTGCCCAGGCCTAAAAAGGGCACAATAAGCAGAGTATCAGATGTCTGAGGATCCGAGTCACATCATCAACTAAGCCACCAGATTGGTTGAGCTACCAGCTAAAGCTAGAAGACTCTGTCATGAGTAATCAATGAGATAAATATCAGCTGTGATCTCAAAATAAGCTGAATGGCTACAGATTGCCCCACTTACTTTCTTTTTAAAAGGTTTCTCCAAGGCAAAGAGGCCCACCAGAAACCTGGAGGGCTTGCTCCCTAAGAAGTAGATTCAAACAATGCTAAAGGTGAACTCTGACGACAAATTATGAGCCTCACAGCTCCCCAACCAGGAGCACTTACTTTCCGACTCCTGGAAGTGCTGTTGACAACCCTTCAGGGATTGCCTCAACTGCAGAGAAGGAACATTTCCAAAATCACCCTCTTCCTGAGACAACCTGCAACTAATGACTCATCAAGGCAAGGGTATAAAATAACAGCCATTTAAGCCATGTAATGGGCTATTTCGGCTGCAGGGCTTCCCGTGGATTTGGTCAGAGTTGTAGTCAGCACTGCATCGTAATTCCACTTCTTCTCTGCTCAAATACTCTCCCTCATCCTTTCTTTCCACAGGTGTTCTACCAAGGACACTCTCTAATAAATGTCCCAATGAGCTCCTCCTCCTCAAAGCCTGCTTATAGAGAACCCCACCTGTAACACACGCCATAGTCAAACTATGGACGCTGTTTGTTTTTGTCTTCTCTCCTTACCCAGATCAAATTTACTCTGTAAAACTTCCTGCAATGTGACTTCCACATCTGCCACATTAAAAACTCCTGTCAGGAGAATTACCCATGACTCATTTATGAGTAATACCCAGGACATTTCAGACCTTATTGATACTTTCTAAAAGTGTCTACAACAGTTGACTCCTTCCTCTTTTTTTTTTACTTGAGACGGAGTCTCGCTCTGTTGCCCAGGCTGGAGTGCAGTGGCGCAATCTCGGATCATTGCAATCTCCATCTCCCAGGTTCAAGATGATTCTCCTGCCTCAGCCTCCTGAGTAGCTGAGATTACAGGCATGTTCCACCATACCCAGCTGATTTTTGTATTCTTAGTAGAGACGGGGTTTCACCATGTTGGCCAGGCTGGTCTCAAACTCCTGACCTCAGGTGACCCACCCCCAACTTGACCTCCCAAAGTGCTGGGATTAAAGGCGTTAGCCACCATGCCCCACCCCTTCCTCTGTTTTAAAATGCACTAATAGCAATCATAACAGCCCATTGCCTTGGTTTTCCTTCTTTGATTTTTCTCTCTCAGTATTGTTTTCTTAGGAAGACTTCTTGTGTTCTTCTTGTCTTATAAGTCTTAGAATACATTTGCCATGATTTTCTTCTCAATTACACTTTCGCTCTGAAGGATCTATTCATTTCTATGTACTCAAGTACATAGAAGTCTATAGCTCCTTTCTTAAACAGCTAGCTGTCTGTGTCTGCACTTGGGTATTTCAAAAGCATGTTAACTCATCATGAGCACATCTTCTTCTCCACCCATACACACTGCTGCTTTATTTCCGGTCTTTACCAATCACATAGAAGACATTTCTTTGCCCACAGGTTTTCAGGTCAGAAAAATGGGGTGGACACTGTCTTTCCCTCTCTGTTATTGCAACCATGCCCATTCATTTAGTCACCAGTGCTGTCCTTCACACCTCTTAAATATATCTTATTGAGAATAAAACATTCTGTCCTTTCCCATTTTTTCTTTCTCATTTAACAACCATCCCTCACTAACTGGTCTCTTTGCTAATGAGCATTCATTATCTTCCTCATAAGAGTCCACAAATGGCCACCAGGTTGGTTCTTCTAAGACACAAAGGAGGAAATACCACACCTATGCTTAAAGCTGGACAATGACTTTCTATTATGATGACATAAACATCTCCTGACTGGCTCAGGAGATGTTCAAAGTCTAGCCCCTACCTTCTTGTCTAGCTTCTTATGCCACTCTCTATTTACATTTCCTGCCTCAGCCACGCTGAAAGATTTTTGGTTTTAGTTCTTTGAATATTACATTTTATCTCATCACTAGGCCCTGCCAAATGCAGTGTGTTCTGCCAGAAACTCTAAATCCATTCCTGTCCTATCTGACTTCTATTCATTCACACATTCAGTATTCCTGTGGTTCTCTCTGCTTCCAAGAAGCTTTTACTAACCAAATGCAGGTTTTCTTGATGAGGCAGGTTTTCCTGATGAGTGCTCCCATCATTATCCATGATCATAACAATCATAGCATTCTTCACACTTCCTTGAGAATTATTCTTCATCTTTCTTCTCTGTTTGGTGAAGAGGGCCATGTCTAACTGGATATTCATAGTATACACTATACCTACCAAACTCTTTTTGTTGGGTGAATGAATTAATTATATCTGTGTTATTCCATTTCTCATGTTGGTACTTTTACCCCTCAATTAAAGTTCCCCTAGCTTCTCTATAACATGTCTTCTTCCTTTAAATTAGAAATTTAAAGACCACAGTGAAAGCTGAAAAATACTAGGATTTATTTTCCTGGCAAGAAACAAATAACTCCAGGAGAACATAAGTTTTGATAATAGAAGTTTTAATACTTGGGTCAAGTAAGGAGGACCTGGAGTATTCTCCAAAGCAGTGCCTGCCTCCTCGAAGGAAAGTGACAGGAAGGTTTTATGGGGTGATGGAGGGGGGAAAGGGTGCATCATCGCATGTAGAGGAGGGGTCCCAGTGGCAAAACCCTAGTGGGTCCTTATGCCAGCACACAGGTCACATGTTATGATAATGAAGCTATAGCTCCTCCTAAGGTGGAGACTTTAGCATGGTCCTGAGGAAAGTTCACTGAGGTTCATCTATAAATTGTTGGGAGTCTGAAAGAGCTGGTTTAAAACAACAAGGAGACTGCATTCCACCCAGGGTTTTGGTGAGTACAGGCTGTAGGCCAGGAGGCTATAAAACAGGAGGATTGCTCAGGTGGATTAAATTTCTATAATACCTGGAGCCTCTCTCCATCTGCTTACAATAAAATCTTTAAAACAGCAGTTGTTCATCCTTTGTGACATTATCTTTCCAATAGTACATACTCAGTATTTAAGGTTATTTAAAGCAATGCCCAAAAAACTTAAAGGACTAACACTCCAGGGTTATGACTTCTCATATCAGGACCACAGTTGTAAACCTAGGCATGTGCTAATTAAATATGGGAACCTAAAAGTACTTTATAAGGAAATTATTAATTTCTTCTCCACATATTTTTATTTAGTAGATTCAGATTCAATCTATTATTTCTGACACTCCGAGAGAGAGAGAGAGAGAGAGAGAGAGAGAGAGAGAGAGAGAGAGTGTGTGTGTGTGTGTGTGTGTGTGTGTGAATTTCCCTGTGTGTGTGAATTTCCCTTGCAAATATGAATGCCTCAAACTTCAGACATAAAGTAAATGTTAGGGGAATTAGGATGTTCATCTTTATAAAATAAGACAAGGCCCTAGAGTTACAGTGACTTTGAATTTTACTCTTTTGTAAGAAAATGCCCTGTATCTTAGTGTTTCCATAGAGAACTACAGATGCTACTGCCTGACAACAAGCCTAGCTCAGTGGTGGCCACAAGTGTCTCTGTAAGTCACCCCTCCCAACTGACCTAGTTTATCACATCTTCTGAGAAGATAAGCTATTCTTAGGGCACCCAGGTGCATGGATTGAGCAGACTTTGAAGAGGCTTTTCTGTCACAGGTTAACTTGTGATTAATATTAAATATTGGGTTATTTCATCAAATTTGCTTCATAGAGATTTCTAAAAGGTCTGCTAGGAGTTCTTTTTTTATCCACTTATATCTAGGTCATGCAACCTTATGAATACAAAATTTCATAATATAAACTGAAAAGTGTAATTTACTGTTCTATATTAAGAATTTTTAACATGATTATTGACAAGAAAACATTTTATGACTTGACTGGGACAGTTAGAAGTAGATTGGGACAAAGTGTACTCATGATACTAAAATAAAGTGAATTTGGGTCGGGTGCGGTGGCTCACGCCTGTAATCCCAGCACTTTGGGAGGCAGAGGCGGGCAGATCATGAGGTCAGGAGACCGAGACCATCCTGGCTAACACAGTGAAACCCCGCCTCTACTGAAAATACAAAAAAAAATTAGCCGGGCGTGGTAGCGGGCGCCTGTAATCCCAGCTACTCTGGAGGCTGAGGCAGGAGAATGGCGTGAACCCGGGAGGCGGAGCTTGCAGTGAGCCGAGATCGCACCACTGCACTCTAGCCTGGGCGACAGAGCGAAACTCCGTCTCAAATAAATAAATAAATAAATAAATAAATAAATAAATAAATAAAGTGAATTTGATCAACTCTTCTTTAACAAAGTGCAAGAGGCTCTAAAGCTGGCCAGAGAGAATTTGGCAAAGCTATTTAGAAGACTTGATGTTACTGTGAATTATTAGGAAATCTGTACTTAGTGGGCTGCACAGGTGATTGTGTGTGTGTGTGTGTGTGTGTTTGACTTATATCTGACATTGAATGGGGCTCTCTATTGGGTGGCACAGTACCCCATGGGCAATTGCCTATGTGTACAACCCATAGGGCAAAAAATAATTAAAAGTCCTAAAATTGCCTTCATTGAGCAATGTCACTTCTCTTTTCTCCCTGTATTTTCTATTGCTAAACTTCTATTATAAAACAAACCAAGAAGAAAAGAAGCATCATTCCCCTGCTTGGGCCCCAGTTTTCTGATCCTGAGAGTTAAAATGGTTAATTGTTAGGCCATATTTCTGGCCATCTTTCTCTTATTAAAGAAGATACCAAGGCATAAAAAAAGTGTCAGAAAAGAATTTTCAAAAGCACTATTAGAGAGGAAACATTCTTTGGTTTTGCCCTACTTCTCCTTCACGTCTTCCCTTTTTGGTCTTAAACTTAAGTTTGAATTTTGATAATGAAGATTGTTAATACATAGGAAAGAGAACACATTACTCTCATAAATTGTATATAATGAGGGACTGAAAACTCAGATTGATGAGATGCCTACCTTGTAGCAGGCATTCGAGTTTATTGTTTCGTGTGAAAATATTTCATTAACTTCCCACAAAACCTTGCAATGAAGACAGGATTATGCTCATCTTACAAATGAGCTAAAAAAGATTCTAAGAATTTGAAAGACTTGCCCAAGGTCTCTCATCTCCTAAGTGGCAAATCATAGATTAACAGCAGGACTGTCTGATTGCATTGCATGTAATTTTAATTTTTTCATGCAATGTTTTCCTCCTTCTCTCTTGAATATATCAATAGAAAGTACTCAGAAATAAAATGTTTTGCATTTGTGCAATAACGGTAACTAAAAAGATACTTTCACAAAATAAGCTCACAGAAATAATGGCAGGTGGTCCTTCACTATTGACTTTAGTGATGAGGAAATGGAGAGCAGAAAAGCAACTTTCTCCAGGTCTCAAAGAAGGTAGGGTCTGCAGTTGACTCCCTGTCATTCCCTTTCATTCCAAATCCAGCTATTTTTTTTCTACACCATGCTGCTTTCAAGCTTGTATTTAAATGTGTTTTTAATGAAGAAATATTCAGTTTTTCTTTGGCATCAAATATCATCTTATATGTGTTAGACTTATCCCAAACTGGAATGTGAACATTTCGGGTAGGAGAGAATTGCAGAGGAGGGCATATTTATTTATACATTAACAGATTTTGAAATGCATTGTCACTTCTGGACAGCAGGTATTTTAGTTGCATCTGGAATGTATTCTTGTGTTACTCATGTTTCTAACTTGTCTAAAGCATGCCTTGCCCACTCATAGATGTTGTCAGACAATTCAGATTAGCTATGGTGCCAATGACTTTTCAAAAGAAAATTATAGTTTAAAATTATATACCTTAAAAAATAGACCTTTAAAAAATTGTTAGGTTTAATGGGCTGTTTTAATTATTTTAATCTTGCACTTCAGGATGGAAATCTTCTCCACTGCCAAGTTAAATCTTCGGAAGAAAATGAAAGATAATTATCATTTTATATTACATGAAAATTAATGATATCATCAACACTTACAAGTTCTTTCACAAGAAGTTAACCCCTTGCAGTGCTTTAATTTGAAGTAAAAGTCTATTTTAAGCATTTGCCTGTGAGTATATCGTTAGAATTAAAATGGGGTTTTTCTTTATGTTAAATGTTTTTACATGGCATCCCAAAGGAAAATAAATAATATTAATTAATATACAAGATTCATGAACTAAGAGGGTTTTACCCCTACCTCAATTCAAGTTTCCCACCTTAAATAGAATAAATTAAATTTTAATATTTAGGTGAATAAATAAAAGACATACACAGGATGAATGCATTTCCTCAACCAAATATCAAGACTAGGTTCAAGTGTACTATGAAGACTCTGGAAGTCTAATACGTTTATGATGGTTATTTTTGCTTACTCTCTTTGCATGCCTGCTATGCAGCAGACACTGTCATGTGTTTTCATTAATTTTCTCTAATTTTTCATCAATTTGGGGACTACTATATCTACTTATATGTGAGCAATAGACTTATGTATAGAGTCTAACTATGTGGAGGCCAAAATGTAGCAAATGTCTTGACTGGGATGACAGCACAACAAAATGTGATCGGAGATTCATTTCTGGATCTGTTTGGCTCAGATATTGATCTTTATCCTCTAGATCGTGATTCCAGGACAAATCATGAAATTTGTCAAAATTAAACTTTATTCCCCACATTGTAGCATTTTTCACCTTTTTAATTACCTTTCTTTGTGATCCTTTCAGGCAGAATCTAATTCAAGAAAGAAATGTGCCAGTAATCTTAAAGAACCTAATGTGTTTACTTTTCCAGTAACATTTCCTAAAAAAAAAAAAAAAACAAAAAACAACAAAAACTTAATAACCAAAAAAGAACTGTGAGAAGAATAGCAAATGGCTAATACATTGTATGGTTAATACATATAATACATTGCGTGGTTAATACATATAATATGGTTAATACATATAATACATTGTATGGTTAATACATATATTCCTAAAGTATAATTAAAGAAAGTTATTTAGGGGATTTGGTTTCCCAGCATTTAACTCTACCTATTTATCATGTTCATTCTTGAAAGAGCAATTCTTCTCTTTCCATCAAATGCTGCCTATGCATACATTCTTCAGTACTGAAATTTGCTTTTTGAGCTAGTTGGTGTTTGAGGACACCAATACTCAAGAGTCTCTAGTCCATTTAATTCCAGAAGGCTGTGCCTCTTCCCCCAGCCACAGCTGCACTTCTAACACAGGATTTGAACTGGAGTCCCCACAGATATTGAATAGCAGGGCAGCAGTAGCTGGTAAGATTCTCAAACTTTAGAGAAGATTTAAAAATGTTGCTTAATGTTTAACTTTACTTGTAATATCACGTTTTGTTTTTCCCCCATTGTGATGGGCTTTGGTTTTTAACTTGTCCTGATGCACCTTGGCAGAGTTTACTTTGGGAGAATGCTCTTCTCGTCCTCTCTTCCCTAAGCTCATGATCCCTGATTTCACTCACACATCCTGACTCCTATGCTTAACTAAATCTTCTTCATGTTTGAAAGCAATTGTACATGGATTAATATATCTCTAAAAGACAGAAAAGTAGCAGAAACATTCTAATATTTAACTTCTCTGCAACATTCGATACTATTGTCCGTAATACTTCCCACTCTTAAACTTGAACTTCTGAACTCACTTCCTGAAACTTGTAATAGGCAGAATAATGACCTCCCAAAGACATCCTATTCCCCAGAACCCGTGAAGATACTAACTTTTCAATCTACCAAAATTATTGGATGTCTATGCACAAGCATAAAAGATTACCCCAATAGCATTTCTGCCTGCGTTCAGGGGATCCCATCTATGGGAAATTCTCATAAACATATTGAACTTAGTTTGTCCTAAATAAATTTTTTTATCTCTTACAAAGACCATACTTCTGCTCCCAAATGACTTATTTCTTGGGTTCCCTAAATTGTTTGGTCGTGTTATAATCTACCTAATCCAAAAAGGCAGACATCTCCTGAATGTTAATATGCCTCTCTTGCAGAAAATTCAGTCATTTCTAGCACTCAAATACAGCAACTCTTCAACACTTTCACTTAATTACTGCCCTACTTCAAAGTCTCATTATTTCTATGCTAAACCACTGAAAATAGTATATCTTGATATTATAAGAGGAATAAAGTCATTCACTTTTAAAAATAGAATGCCTACAATATGCTAAAGACAAGGAGGTATGTGTTTTGTGTGTATGGCAACTGGGATAGAATTTTTTTGTGGAGTCTCTGTATTCTCCAAGGAGAAAAAATATAGATTGATGGTGGAGAACCTCACAAGGGCTTAAGTTCAGATTTCAAGATATCTGGTTGATTATAATTGGTAAATTTAAATAATCAGACCCACGTTGACATTTGCAGAATCATCAATAATTTTTCTTATTAGTATTTCTTATTTGTTTTTATTTTCACAGTATCACTTTGAGACTTGTAAGAATTCATCCAAACTCATCCAATGCTTAAGTATGGAACTATGGCTCTCATTTCAGTGTTCCATTTCATTTCCACAATATTACTTGTAGACTTCTATAAACACTCATCCAATGCTTGAGTATGGAACTATGGCTCTAATTGCAGTGTTCCATTCTATATTTAAGCAAAGCTATGCAAAATGTCACATTGAACTTTGAAAAATTAAAATGTTAATAATTTTTATGAATAATTGCCTAATTTGCACAATCTTTGGTTTAATTTGAATACTGTACTGATTATACAAGCCTTTGAATAATTCATATGTAGACCTTCTCCATTATCCTGACAATCAGAGTTCTACACTGGTTCCAAAAACCTGCCTTATGACAATATTTTCTAGTATGATTGGGGATAAAGTATGATATTAATTATTTTTGAGGAAGAAAAGTAAGTGAAGAAGAGTACCTGCAGAAAATTAATTCACAAATTTCTGTTTCAGGTGAGCTTTTTAAAAACATACATAAAGATATCTTTGACATTTTATTTTTTACTGATTTTTCTGTCTAGTTACCTTATGAGCACTGTAAATGTATATGTAAATTTCTTTGTCTAACAGATAATCAAGATTAAAAACCTGACAACACAGTTGACTATAATCATAGTCTTTATTCTCTGATAGGAGAGGTCTTACATGCTACTTGGGTTTTTGCAAATTGGATATATTGTAAAGCTTTGTTTGTAAAATTCTCAATGTCAGGCCAATAAATGCACATATAGTTCAAAAAACCCAGCTGTCTGCTCTCCAAAAATACCCTCAAGCTTATTGTTAGAAGTATTCAGCTTTACCTTTAATCTTCCCATCACCTGGACACAATCCTTTTAGCATAGCGAGACATCCTTGCGCCAGTATAGTATAGATCTCCATCCTAGAGAAGTATGATCCACATGAAAATGTAACTCAGTTCCACATTGTACTGAAATATTTTACTGATATCAGATTATCTGGGGTGAAATCACTCTCTGCCCCTCAGTTACTCTGAGATCTTGAACAAGTTACTTAACCTCTCTAAACTTTAGTTTTGTCATACATAACAGTTGGGGAATGACGGCAATAATAATACCTGTTGTATACGTTTTGTTTAAGTGAGAAATTTATAAAATAAACTATATTAAGATTTAGCATACTACACAGCAGGAGTAAAAGCCAAATAAATGTGGTTTATTGTTTCCTTTATTAATGTTTCACACACATTCCTTTTATCTCATAATTTTTATCTTTTGGATTATGTCTCATCTATTTTGCAGATGGAAAATGGTCTGAGGAATGGCAGCCATTTCTTCTTTAGTAGTTCTGGATTCTGACAGACCATGAAATTCACCAGTAGATACCCTAAACATTTAAACTCTCAGCCTCTTTATTCAACTCTCCCCTTCTCCCCCACTCCCTCCAATTCTGATTCAATATGTTCTGGGAGACAGATAAGAAATCTGTATTTTTTTAAGTCCTCCCAGTAGATTTTCATAATCAGCCTCATTGAGAACCTCCTGCTCTTAATCATGAGTATTCAACCTAGGCTTCAGGGAAACCATAAGCATCCTAAATGCATTTGTAAAGCCTTGTGTGGCTGGCATTTGGTCATTTTCCTGGAAAAATTGTTTGTCAAATTTTAGCTATCAAAATGTGAAACAATATTCTAAATTCACCTATCTCTACACCTGGAGAGTAAGACAAAGAGAGAGCCACAAACTTGTAATGTATGGATTTGATGTCCTGTATAAATTGTGTCTACCACAAGGTGATTTTCTTTACATCTGTATCAAAAGATAGTATAATGAATAACACCATAAAATTGACCTCCTTAATAAGTTAAAGGTGTTTTATAGAAGTATGTCACTATAATAATTTTTGGCCTTAGGACCAGGAATACATGATTTTCTTTTAAATGTTAGTTATATTTTCCATACAGGCATGGTGAAACATTTTTTTTTCCTTTGGCAAAATCCACAACTAGCAAATAAATATGTTGGAAAGAGTTTACCTAGTCCTAACCTCATTTGTCTTTCTTATTGACTTCATCATCTATTCACTGTCTATTTTATTTTATCTTACAGTAATAAATCTTAAAGCTTCTCTTAAATAAGATGTGGTGTAAATATGTTAATATGTAATACACTTAGGTTTTTTTTAATGTTATACATCTGATGAGTGTAAACATTCTTAATGAAATAATTATTCTAAGTGAATTACTTATCAATGACAAAGATTATAATCAATAGAAGTAATTGATTTTAATTTTGTAAAATAGAAACATAATTTTATAGTAGGAGTGAATTTAAAGGTTGATATAAACTTGTTTTTCTTTCTATTTTATTACACCCTTACAAATACATGCTTTATTATTCAATATAGGTCCTGAAAATACTATAAATAAGTTAATTAAAATGGCAAATACTATAGGTATATATATTATTTAAAGTGCACTATGTTAACATTTTAGATAGACAACTGATAACACTAAGTTTTCAATATTTTCAATATTTGAGACTTGTAAGAATTCATCCAAAATCATCCAATGCTTAAGCATGGAACTATGGCTCTGATTTCAGTGTTCCATTTCATTTCCACAATATTACTTGTAGACTTCTATAAACACTCATCCAATGCTTGAGTATGGAACTATGGCTCTAATTGCAGTGTTCCATGCTATGTTTAAGCAAAGCTATGCAAAATGTCACATCCAACTCTGAAAAATTAAAATGTTAATAATTTTTATGAATAATTGCCTAATATACACATTCTTGGGTTTAATTTGAATACTGTACTGATTATACAAGCCTTTGAATAATTCATATGTAGACCATTTGTTTTTCTCATTTCAAAGTTTTCCTGATGGATCCCTATAACAAGAGAAAAATTGTTCTATTGGGGCCCCAGGTCCAAGAACAAAGGACAAATTTAAATTAATAGTAAATGATGGTTGGGTGCAATGTCTCATGCCTGTAATCCCAGCACATTGGGAGGCTAAGGAGAAAGGCTTTCTTGAGCCCAACGTCTGAGGCTGCATTGAGCTGAGATGGTGCCAATGTATTCTGCCTTGGCAAAAGAGCAAGACCTTGTCTCTAAAATAATAATAATAAAGAATGGTCATGTCATTTTTATAGAAACCTAGAATCATGTCATTTTTATAGAAACCCAGAACCTAGCTGAAAAATTGACCTTTTTTGCCCATATATATCTGTTACTATATAGTAGACAGGATTATTTCACCAGTGGAGAAAGTGTGATGTTGGCTAATTAGGATGGTATCTTTACTTGGGAAAGAATAGAACGAAAGAGAGGATAGCGGATTAATTCCTGAATCAAGAGATAGTGACAGGTCCGGTTATAAACACTCATAACATTGACTGACCCATGCCGAAAGGTATATTGGTCTTTGTGATAGCTAACTCTGTGTTTCAACTTGAGTGAGCTAAGGGATGCCCAGATAGCTGGTAAACAAATTATTTTTGGATGTGCCTGTGAAGGTGTTTCCAGAAGAGAATAGTATTTGAATCGGTAGACTGAGTAAAGATGATCTACCTTTGCCAATGTGGCTGGAATCATCCAAGCCACTGAGGGATGGAATAGAAAAAAGAGGTAAAGAAAGGACACATTCTCTCTCTCCTTGGGCTGGGACGTTCATTTTTTCCCTGCCCTTGGACATGAGAGCTCCTGGTTCTCTGGCCTTTGAATCCCATGGCACAGTTCTCAGGCTTTTGGCCTCAAATGGAATTATACCCCTGGCTCTTTCCCGAGTCTCCAGAAGTTAGTATATCATGGGACTTCGCCTTCATAATTGCATGAGCAAATTCTCATAATAAATCTCCTCTTATGTACAGTTGGTCTTCTGTACATATGAGTTCCATATTTATGAACCCAACCAACCATAGATCAAAACTATTCAGAAAAAAATGTAAGAATGAAATCGTAAAATATAATACAAATTTTTAAAATATGGTATGGCATCTATTTACCTACCACTTAGATTGTATTGGGTATTATTAGTAATCTAAAGATCATTCAAAGTATATAGCAGGATTTACATAGGTCATATGAAAATACAACACCGTTTTATATAAGAGACTTGAGCATCCACAAATTTTGGTATCCATGGGGGGGTGTCCTGGTACCAATCCCTGTGGATACTAAGATATGACTGTATGTCTATTGTGAACCCAACAGTATCTGAGACAGATTTCAATCAATTTAGAAAGCTTATTTTGCCAAGGTTAAGGATGTGTCGGTGACACAGCTTCAGAGGTCCTGACATGTGCCCAAGGTGGTCGGGGCACAGCTTGGTTTTATGCATTTTAGGGAGACATGAGGCATCAATCAATAGATGTAAGATGTACATTAGTTAGGACAAGAAAGGCAGGATAACTTGAAGCAGGGAAGGGGGCTTCCAGGTTACAGGTAGATAAGAGGGAATTGGTTGCACTCTTTTGAGTCTCTGATTAGCCTTTCAGTGAATACACAATTTACATAGAGGAGGGCAGAGGAATAGTCACTTATGCCTTAGTCTGGCTTAGTGAAGCAATAGGGCAGAGGAAGCCGTCAGATATGCATTTGTCTCAGATGAGCAGAGGGATGATTTTGAGTTCTGTCTGTCCTTTGCCTACGAGCAATTTCCTTGTGCGCAAACTGTGAGGAAGGTATGTAGCTTTTTTTTTTCTTTTTTTGTCTTTGTATAATAGCTATCTTATTTAGGAATAAAATGGAGGCAGGCACTTCCCAGCTTGACTTTTCCCTTTGATTTAGTGATTTGGGGGTCCCGAGATTTATTTTCCTTTCAGACTATATATATATCCTATTGGTCTGTTTCTCAGGCAAACCCTGACCAATACAGTATTGAAATATTAAAAACGAAAGCTCACAGTATCTCTCGCCCATCTGGCTTTAGCCTTATAAACTGCACATCCACCAATCTTGTCTTGCACTGAATCCTGTATGGACATTGACTCAATAAACATCTACTGAATCTACCGAGGATGTTGTATTTGTAAGTTATTTTGTTAGGCTCTCTTCTGTTTTGGCACAAATAAGCCAATGTCAATGAGAGAAATAAAGACAGGTAGAGACAAAGAAGAAGATACAAAAACAGAGAAAAAAAGGCACAAAGGCACAAAGCCAGCTGAGACATAGATAGAGAAATAGAAAGATCAGTAAGGAATTAAGAGGCATAAAAGAAGGTAGAAAAGAATGTGAGAAAATTAAAGAGGAAAAGAAAAAAGTTCATACAGTACCTGTTTTACATATGAACTACCACCACCAACAAAAAACTAATAGAATTTAACTGGTAGTCAAGCTCTGATTACAAACATATTTTTTGGGAAAAGAATAGTAGAGTACTGGTGGCATGATTATAATCACACAAATGCCATTATTTCATATGCATCTATTGCTGAGAGCAAGTCTCTTCTTCATTTTATTTGAAAATTTGGTTTATAATATGCAGTGATCCATCATCTGTAAGAGAAATGTGCGGAAAGATAAATTGTACAGTGGTCTGACAAATCTTATTAAAGTAACATATAGAAGAGGAAAAATTAACAGCTATTCCATTATAAATGTCAAATCCACAGTGCCACTTTCTTCGTAACTATTGTATTTCCATTCCTTTCTCATTAATTCTTAGTCCTTATGAAATAGTTTTCATTGGTTGATCAGTCATGTATATCCATAAACTTCTAATCAAATATGTCACTATTGCCTTTAATTTATAAACATTATTGCAAAAAGTCAGTGAAAATTTTGTTTCTTTCTGAAAAAAGTGGACAAGTGTATACCTAAAATTAATCATACTGGTCTTTTAAAGTATTGAAACATTTTCCTTTTTTTTTTTTCAAATTTGGTCCACCTAATTAAGTACATTGTCAAAAGAACAGAAAAAAAATCACTATATTAATATTTTCAGAAAGTTTACAACAAAATAACTTACTTTATATTGTCTAAATTTTTTAGCGAGAAGATTGATATTTAGATGATAGTCTGATTAGCCTGTTGGTGGATGATGTTTATTGATATGGTTTTGCTAGGTCCCCACCCAAATCTCATCTTGAATTGTAGCTCCCATAATCCCCACATGAGGGACCCAGTAGGAGTTAATTGAATCATGAGAGGGGAGGTTTCCTACGCTGTTCTTATGATAGTGAATAAGTCTCACGAGATCTGTTGGTTTGATAGAGGGTAGTTTCCCTGCATTCACACACTTTCTTGACTGCCACCATGTAAGATGTGCCTTTGCTCCTCCTTCACCTTCCACCATGATTGTGAGGCCTCCCCAGCCATGTGAAACTATGAGTCCGTTAAACCTCTTTTTCTTTATAAATTACCCAGTCCTGGGTATTTCTTCGTAGCAGTGTGAACATGGGCTAATATACATTAGTACTGTAACTTTTTTACACAGCACTTTTTTTCACTCTCCTTTCTTTTGGATCTGTTGGTGAATAACCTGTTTTCATCCATGTGAGGATATGACAGAGGCAGAAACTGTCAGTCAGGATTTTTTCTAAATAGAGTGGATTGAAAATAGTCACAAATACTTTGCTACTCTGCCCACTGAGAAGTGGAATTTAATTTCCATTCTCTTGACTCCAGGCTGGCCTTAGTGACTTGCTTGACCAATAAAATACAATAGAGGTGATGCTTTGCCAATCTGGGGCCTAGGCTTCAGGAGAAATGACAGTTTCCCCATTGTTTACCTGGAACCATGAGTGACCATGTAAGAAAGCCAACTAGCCTGAATAGTATGTTAAGAATAATATGTTAAGACATTGTAATGGAAGGAGGAGCCCCCACCACATAGATATTCCACATGGAAGCACCCAAATGCCAGTCCTATTCTAACATTAAGCCTCCTAGCCATCTTCACAAAAACAGCAGATATGTGCATGAACTCATCTTGCATTCTCCAGTCGAGGGGACCAGTCAGCTGAACACTACCAAATAACCTGTGTTAACACAACTTTCTATAACTTTCTTGTTAATAGAAAATTCTTGCCTAAATGTATGACCTAGAAAATTGTAAGATATAATAAATTCCATATTGTTTTAAGCTACAATATTTTGGGGTATGGTTATATTAGGTTTGATAAATGAATAATAAAAGCAAGATATTGTCTTTCTGCTGGAGTTGTGAAATGGAGATTACCTGAACATACAGAAAGCAAGCTGGCTAGAGGCATGCCCACTCATTAATTAAGTGAAACCCAATAAATTCATTTGGGTTTTAATACTTACAAAATCAGATAGCTTGACTTTTAGTATTTGTAAACTTAAATAACATGATTGGCAAATCATCTTTATAATAAGTTAAAACCCCAACTTTGCTAATATTAGTAATAGTTCTCTAGTAGCTGTAACTTCCAATATCCATAGTCTACAAACACATGATACAAAATAACACATTTAGGGACATTTTGATGTCAATAATGATGTGGAAAATTCCATAGAATTTGCACATCCCTTCATTAGATATGAGGTAACTCTTACTAGTTCAGCCTTTATATTATTTTACTATCCTGGGTGAGGGCATTTCTTCCTTCATTTTTTGCTTCCATTACAATGTCTTAATATACAATTCTTGCTCATTTTCTCTTTTCCAGATATGAAACTGCAGTGATTATTTCCCTATAATTTCTCTATTTCTCTCCTATATAAACTTATACCTCCAATCACTAACAATTTTTCTATCTCCACTTACCCATTTTCAACTACTTTCTTCTATTTTTAATAATTCTTATAACTTGCAACACAAATTGCCTAAAAAAAAAGATGTTTTAACTTAATTTCTTTTTCTGGCCTCTCTCTCTCTCTCTCTGTGTGTGTGTGTGTGGGGGGGGGCAATGTGGGGGGGTTCTCATATTTCACTAATTAGTGTTTGCAAACACTGTTCATGCTTTATCGTCATCATCACCATCATCACCTCTTATATGTATTTGCACTTAAACCATTCTATATGCATTCATTTAATATTAATAAATCTATGAAGTCAATGTCACTATTATATATTTTTACAGATGAGAAAAATAACATATAGAAAGGTTAAATAACTTCCCAAAGGTTACATGTTGGTAAATTACCAAGATTAATGAAGATATGTCAAATGAATGGAAATGGCTCTCATGCCAATCTTCCTGATCATTCTCCTCAATTACAACTGTTATTCTAGTTCAAATTGTTGTTACCTCCATCCAAGAATTTTACAACCAGCTCCTACTGGAAGTCTGACTCTCAGATTTACCTTCTGCTAATCATTATTCAACAGAAACTCCAGACCAATATTCTTACGTCGCAAATGTTATTTTTGCTACTCCTAACTACTCATTTTGATGGCTCTTCACTGCTCACATTGTTTATTTGAAGTGTGGTGCCCTGGTATTACAGGCCTACATGCATATTTTCCCTGTAGTTTCCACAGTCTATTCTTTTGGGGACAAATACTTAGTTTATGTTTGACCCAACGAGGTTAATGTTTCCACAGATATAAAGCAAGAAGAATACGTTATAGTAAATATAAATTGTACAAAACAAATTTCACATTGTTTTTCTAAATATTAAATGTTATTAGTTTTATGACATTCCATGTACATAAGGATAAATGAGAGATAAGTATTTTAAATTTTAATTGTAAGACATATTAATAAAAAAGGCATTTATGAAGTATTTATTAATTAAGTAGCACACTTCTGCTCATCTGTGTTGAACATCAGGAACAGGAGATGGGAAGAGTGAGTTAAGTGAGTGTTAGTTTGTTACTATTATGCTGATTTCCAGAAGTACAGACATTGACTGAATGTAGGAACTCAATTAATAGCAATATCTGTAGGTTTTCTTCTATTTCATATGTTTTTCAAGAATAAAAAATACATTTATGTCAGTGATTTTTTCCTTTATTGGGATATTAAAGAATCTTCAAGGATTATTACAGTTGGATTAAAACAATATTTTTAAAAATCACCTATCTTCATAAAAATGTGAAAATATGTAAGATCTCAATAGTTACAGCATGTCTTAGTACATTTTGGTGGCTATATAAAAAAACCTTACACTAGGCAATTTTCCTTTTTTTTTTTTTCTTGAGACAGTCTCACTCTGTCACCCAGGCTGGAGTGTAGTGGTGCCATCTTAGTTCACTGCAACCTCCGCCACCCAGCCTCAGGTGATCCTCCCACCTCAGCTTCCCAAGTAGCTGGGATCACAGGTGCCTACCACCACACCCAGCTAATTTTTTGTATTTTTAGTAGAGACAGGGTTTTGCCATGTTACCCAGGTTGGTCTCAAACCTCCTGGCCTCAAGTGATCAGCCCACCTTGGCCTATTAAAGTGCTAGGATTACAGGAGGGAGCCACCGCACCCAGCCCCTAGGTAATTGTTAAACAACAGACATGTATTGCTTATAATTCTGGAGATTGGGAAGTCCAAAATCAAGGCATCAGCAGATTCGGTGTCTGGTGAGGGCTCCTTTCTCATAGATGTCACCTTCTTACTGTGTCCTCACATGGTAGGAGGGAAGAGGGCAAACAAACAGCCCCAGGACGTTGCTTTGTAAGAGCACTAATTCCATTTTTTTTTTTTTTTTTTTTTTTTTTTGAGACGGAGTCTTGCTCTGTCGCCCAGGCCGGACTGCGGACTGCAGTGGCGCAATCTCGGCTCACTGCAAGCTCCGCTTCCCGGGTTCACGCCATTCTCCTGCCTCAGCCTCCCGAGTAGCTGGGACTACACGCGCCCGCCACCGCGCCCGGCTAATTTTTTGTATTTTTAGTAGAGACGGGGTTTCACCTTGTTAGCCAGGATGGTCTCGATCTCTTGACCTCATGATCCACCCGCCTCGGCCTCCCAAAGTGCTGGGATTACAGGCGTGAGCCACCGCGCCCGGCCCTAATTCCATTTTTGAAGGCTCTGCCCTCATGACCTAATCACCTCCCAAAGACCCCACTTTCTAATATTATCACCCTGGTAATTAGGTATCAACATATGAATTCTGAGGTGGGGTAATACATTCAGACCATACCACAGTGTTATTTCTATGAGAAGCATGCATCTTTAATTCCCTGCCATCTTGAAGAGTATTCTGAATCTTAGTGTAAATAGTGGGCTGTGTATAAAACCACTACCAATATCATATCACCACTCACCCCAATCCTAGAATGTGAGATCTAATGAGAGCTATTGTTTTTATAGTCTTATTTGCTCTCATAATACTAAGTTGAATTTTAAACAGTGTATATCAATAAGTATATTTCTATGAAGATAGAAAAGTACATCAAGAATGATTGTTGCAATGAACTACTTGTACAAATGGCATTTAAAACACACTTGGAAGGGTGAAGAGAGTGGCTGTGGCTCAGTTGCTTCTTGAGATGACTGTTGCCTGGACTCAACCTTGACGGACAGGAGAAAGTGAGGAGGAGTTGTCAGAGTTATGAGTGAGGTTGGAGGAAGTCAAGGTGGATTCCTCATAAAGAAGAGCACTGTGCCCCTAAAGAGACAGACACCATGAGAAACACTGTGACGTTGGACATCTACATTTCATTATTTTAAAATGAAAAAAATAGCATGAGACAATGGGAAAATGATAAGCCAAGTTTAATTTTTAAAAAAAGCTTTTCATGTCATGCTAAATAGCTTAGATTTTAAAACAGAGTGATAAAAACTTCGATGATTTTAACTTGATAATCAATACTATACTTTAAAAAATCACTTTGGTGACAGAGGAGCCATTCATCACCTAAGATTGGGTATATAGCAGCCAAATATGTCTAAGTGAGACAGAAGAAAAAAAAAACGAGAGAGAGAGAGATTCTAAACTTGGCAGAGGACAGCTAAGATGGTGAGAAGGATTTGAAAGACAGGAAAAATATAGCATTGACAGAATATGGGAACCTCATAAATGTTACTCAGGGGAGGCTGAGGAGTCAAAATGCCATCAGGGAGTTCTGACTTAGGTTGGGTCAATGGTGGTGTAATATTTTGAAAATGGGAATATGGAAGTAGAATTAGGCTTCAGGAGAAAAACATTAATGTATGGGCACATTATTATCCTAATGTTGAGGTCTAAGGGTAGGAAATTTTTTTGGGAATGACTTGAAGGAGAGAAAAGGATTAAAAAGAAATTAACTTTTCTTGCTCACAGATACTTCCCAGGTAATCTTACAGTTTTTCCCAATTGTTAAAACTTTTATGTTAACACCTGTACTTTTACTCATAAGTAAACTGAGGCTTAAAAGGAATACATAATTCAGCCCTAATCACACAAATCGAAGGTCAAAACTTAGGAGTCAAACACAGTTCATTGTGGCAAAACAAAACAAAACAAGCCAAAAACCTTTCAACTATACCTGGAGGCAGAAATTGAAACATTACCTAGGTAGCTTAATGTGATTTACAAATCTGGAATCTTGGTTATTCATCCATTTAGAATAAATCTTGGTGTAAAATCATGCAGAAATCTCTCAGGGACCCTTAATCATGTCTCTCACACTAATTTTCTTTTCTTTTCCTAGTTTCTGTTAAATTATTATGCAAACAAATTTATTCAAATGCATTTTTCGAGAGCAGAAGAGGGGTCTGGGATTGCATGTACTTCAGTTTGAAAGATAATTGTATCTCATAGTGAAAATGTCTTCACTTGTAAATCAGAATGATTAGAAAAAATTAAAGATACTTAAACTGTCATGTAAGAATGTACAAATAAAAGAAAAGAAAATTCACCTAAAATTATTCGTTTTAACCTGGACATTGTGTTTAAGTGATGGCTAGAATAACAACATTTAAATTACAAAATGTGTTTAATATCCGAAAATGCCCATGTTACACTGCAAAGTGGAATGTTATAATTTAAAAAGAGCATGATAGACATAATCTAAATGAGTTTCATTCGGTCAAATACAAATGAATTTAGACTAGCTAAGCCTTTGTCATGAATTTTTGGGGAGAGTTTATAATGTACTATTAAGAAAGAATTGTTTGTTTCAATTTGTCTTGGGTTAAACATAATACAGGAAGATAAACATTGAGTTATAGCAGGAGATTTCCATTTCTGAGAAGTTTTATTTTTGTTTCAATTTATATGTAAATTTACACTTAAAGAAACATACATTTATAAACAACAACATGAAAAGTTTAATATGAACTTCAAATGCAAGTTTATGCAGAAAGATATTCATATACCAAATAAAAACAAAATACTTAAATAAGACTTTAAATTCTTCGAAGAATGTATTATGGATAACTGAACGTGTGGAAATGGCTAAGCATAAAAGCTTTGCAATCACCTTTTACATAATTTATTAATTAGAGTTCACATTACAATGTGCATGCATGTTACACTCCAGGCGTGTAAAGGTATGAATGCTGAAAACCTTAATAAATATCAGTTTTTGACACTAGTTACCACATTAATGTATTTTACAGGCATCATTTCATTTTATTGCAGTCTAAAATTTGATGTTCTCTGGGTTGAAAGCAAACTATCTTGACCAACATGGCAGCCTTTGTTTATCCCACGGTCAAACTAGTTACTATAATTCTCTCCATCTTTCTTCATCCACTGCTATTGTTCTTTTAGCTTGATTTGATATTTTCTTAAAGCTTTTCAGATTTATTTTAATTAACATCATTCTTTTTTCAAAATGATAGACTGGACCTAGATTACCAGCAGGACACTGAGAATTTTAGGAAAACCAACTGTCATGTTTAGAGTTCATAGTCCTTTTTGTCAAGACAATGTACAAAATGAGAAATAAGTGTTTTAAGAGAGAATAAAAAGCTATAGAAACTATATCACATTCAGATTATAAAACATTTTATTTATTGCATTCTGCTTTATAGAAGATTTTGTTTAATTTAACTAGACAGTAATTGGGACTGAAATATTTATATTACTCATTATTTTAGAGGTCAGATAAGTTGTCCTATTGAGCACAAGATTCTCTAAGCCCTGCAGTAGTTTTGGCCTGCTCAGAATTTAGTCAAGAAAAAGATGAAGATAAGGTAGTCAAGAAAAAGACCAGTCCTGAAGACATCTTGTGTCTCAATGTCCAACTTAATGAGTGTGGCAGCTCTATCTATCTATCTATCTATCTATCTATCTATCTATCTATCTATCCAAATATCTATCTATCATTTTTGTACCTACCTGTCTCCTAATCTTCTCTCCTCATTGCATCATCTTTTGGAATTCTGTCAATCAAGACCTGTGCAGCCTACTCTAACTTGTGATATTTGACCCTACCATTTATCTATTTATTTTGGTTTGGTTTTAGGTATTTTATTCTGTGATCTCAAGGGCACAGATATATCAGAAATTAAATGTAAGGGTTCCCTCTGGGTCAGGGTCTCTAGTAATCTTTGTCTAAGATGTTACTTAATCAGCCAATTTACTATGATGAAGAGGCTATAAAGATTAGCAAAATCGTAAGAATCCCAACTGTTTCTGCACAATCATAGACCTATAGAAAGAAGAAATCAAACTCTCTAGACTTGAACATAAAAAATATTTGATACCATAATGTTCTCCATGATCTGGACCTTACCTCTCCACCCCAACAATTCCCTATCACTTTCACTTGTGACCGCCAAACTCACCACACACTAGACACATCTGCTTTCCCTTTGTTGGCCGATATGCATGAACTCACTCTCCCTTAGTGTCCTCTGTCTTGAAAGCATCTCCTAGATCTTCAGAAGACTGGCTTATCCTTGTCATTCAGGTTTTGCCATACATATAACACCTCCCTCCACTAGCAGAATGTTTTTTTTTCTGACATGACCTCCAAATCTAGTGTAGTATTCAATAATTCTCAATTCCATCATCTTGTTTTATTTTCATGCTAGCATATTTTCCTATGTTTTATTTTATTTTCTCTATCCCCTGCCATCCAAATAGAATTCAGTACCTAATCAGTACTTGGCCTGTTTTAGTTGCTCAGAAAATTGATTGAATGCATAGACTTAGTTAGCAAATATAAAATAAAGGGATAGTATTTAAACTCAAACTTGACAATTGGCATTTTCCAACGTTTTATGCATTTTAAAACATTTTATAAGAACAAAGAAAATGTATAATACCACCTAGCCACACATAATCCTTACAAGGCATTAGCAAATGGAAAGAAATATAGAAAAAAATAATGACAAAATCTAATTGAATAGCAGCTCACTACAGCTGTTGCTCAGCACAACTTCAATTTTATTAGATTATCCTCTTTTTGGTGTTCCCGACACATTACAATGACTCACCATCAGACCCCAAAGCTGGGATCCCATGTGTCCTGTTTCTAATTATATTTTGGTAATGCTGTTATCTCCACTTAATTTCACTACTTCACCTACCAGAAGCTAAATCAAATGAAAGGATTCCAATTTAGAAACAACTTTCCAAAAAGAAAAGGAAGAGTTTCTAGCTATTTGTACATGTAGACTGTTTCCACATGATAATATCAGAATTATTTACAAATTCACTGTTGCTTGTCAGTGAAAAAGTAGGGGATTGAGACAATAAAGCAATGGTTCACAGAGCAAGAGGGAAAGTGGGAGACGGTTGACAGAGCTAGAAATGATGTTCTCACCACCTCATTTCTTGCAAGAATGAATCAATAGAAGAAACATATGGGATTTGTCTCTGTGTTGAGTATTTCCACATGGTAATGTCAAGTCCTGTAAACACACAAGCAACATGCCTTTGAAGATCAAAAGAAGCCAAGCAAAAAAGCAACTTAGTAGGAATTGGCATTCTAGTCATAAGGAGTCTGTCCATCCTTTCTGAATTCCTTTTCTTCATTTATTCCCTACAATCCACACTTCACCAACGTCATTTCCTGTCGTGTGATTCTGTGGTGTCTGGATAAACTATATTACAGTTTCTGGAGAAAGAGTCTCCTGTTTACACATCTTCGTATCACAAACAACAGCTGATGGTTTTACACAATTAAATACTGATGGACCTAATTACCACATAGTATTAGTTGATTAGAGTCATGGCATTTCTTACATTATCTTGGTAGAAAGAAAAACACATATGAAGCATTTTGTTTATTCCTACGTTCAATAAATTGATATTAAACTTCTCTTGTGTGCCAGGAACAGATATAAGCACTAGAGATATAGTATCAAACAAAACAAACAAAAACCCTTGCATTCCTCGAGCTCATACTCTAGTTTAAAAGGAGAGACAATAAATAAAATAAATAAATAAACCGTATAATACAGTACGTGGTCATAGAGTCACTGAAACAAAATAAAGCAGAGAAGGGGATGGGATTGCACTTGGGTTGTAATTCTACTTCAGGGTCTTTCTGTTTGCTTGCTTGTTTCACCTATGCAGACTTCTTTTATTAACCTCCAAAAGACTACATGTACTTTCCTAAAGTACTAAAAGAGGTTAATGAAGCTGCAAACCCAATTAATTATTGATTCCTTCAAGGCAAAGACAAATGTCACTAACAATTTTTTGTGCTGCGAGTCCGTTTGTGTGCGTTTGATGCTTGAGGAAATGGTATACCACTTATACCTCAACTACGTATTGATCTTTGGCTGGAAAAATTCACATATAATTTTATCAGTGCAAGTAATCATTTTTTATTTTTAATTTATTATTCAAAGCCATGGCATGCGTTGATCATCCATGATACCAGCATTAATACGTGACAAATAAGAGTTAATTCCTCAAAGCATCATTTTTCTGTCTTCCCACCAAAAATAGCACTGTCAACTCCAGCTCTTCTAACAGAGAAAGTAGATTTTTTTCTATAAAATATGCAAATCTGTGCCATGGAAATCTATTCACACATATTATAAACTTAAGAAGCATTAATAGTCAACAAAAAATGAAAAAAAAATAGAATTTTTAATATCAGGTCAAGGGCATACAAGTATATTATCCTCGTTGTCTAGAGTGGAGGGACTTCAAGGCCTGTGATGATCTGAGCCATCTCTCTCTCTTTCTTTCTCTCTCAATCAAGCAAGCAATAAAACAACTGCATTGCAAAACTGTGTTAGTACTTATATATGTGAATTAATTTGGCATCAATAAAAATATGAAATCTCAGAAGCACTGAACCTTAACATTGGATAAGAATATAGCAGTAGATATAGAGTCAGTAGCAATGAATCTCTGTCCTAAAAATATACGAGAAGAATAAATACAGATAGGATAGTAATTACCAAATGAACAAAGAAAATTACTATGAATTTTTCATTTTTGGCCAGCTCTGTGATTTTGAACTGTTACTTTATCCTTGCTAATTTCTCTATTTTTGATCCAAATTTTTGTTAATATCTTTATGAGCCTAGGTCTAATTTAGTGAGTAGGCTTAGTTTGAGATTTGTAACAGATTTAATCTATATATACTTTTTGTACTCACTTTAAGAGCATTCTTTAAGAACCATACTAAAAAAAAATGCTCAGTTTATCCTGATTTTTTTTTCTGTTTGTAACAATTATTTTAGCTTTATTTTTCTTTTTTAAAAAATATGTACAGTAATGTTTTTATACTTACTTTTAAATAGTTGTGTACATATTATTCTATACCTCTTGAATGTAGGTATTTCCATTGAACTTAGAGCAATAGTTTATTTTTACAAACAGCAGTAAATCAGAGTTCTATATAAACAGGTAAAAACAAAGTGAATGAAATAACAATAAAAACGGAATATTTTCAGGGAGAGAGCTACTGAGCAAAGGATTGAAATTGTACTACATTTAAAAATAATTCTTAATATGAAATGAAAATTTCACAATAAATATTGGAAAACATATTTCTTCATCCCATAACTTGCACCATTATTTTGCTCGAATTGACAGACCCTTTTTCCAGTGGATATAAGCATAGGGGTCTGCCCATTACTGAGTTTTCCAGTAATCCAACTCTTCAGCATCACAGCCAGTCAGCATTTTTCCTCTGCTTTTTCCAGATGGTAATGTCCCTGGCATTTCTGAGTCTTCCCAATGCAATTGCTCAGTGTTCCACATAATGAAGAAGAAACTCTGCAGATACCTGAGCAGCACATTAGTTGCTTTGACAGATTAGCAAATCCAGCATCTCAAAAAGGGAGCGTGCTTTAGAATCTCACACCCAACACCATTTTGGCTAAAAAGAAATATATAAATATATCTATATCTATATCTATATCTATAGATATATAGATATAGATATATAGATATATATTGAATCCTATTTCTGTTAAAAGAGAAAGGCATGGTTTATATTTTATAAAATTATTGTTTAATAAAACAAAGTAGGTCTGTCACTCACCTGTGGTTCTCAATTCTTAGGAAAATTGAACATGATGAGTCTGTCACGTCCCAGCAATACTTTGCACCATGTAGTGAGTGTCTTGTCAGCAAAATAGGAAACAGTGTTGAGAAAGTCACTGAAATCATTCAGCTGTACTGGAAAGTTTGCTCTTTGTTAGCAATGCCACACAGGTTTCTCCCTCACCATGCTTTTGGGGATGGACAAAAAATACCTATCAGGCCAGTAGAAACTGCTTGGGCAACCTGTGAGGGAACAGCTGGCATGTTGAAGCAGTTCTGCAGCGCAGCCAGCTAAGGGGCTGTTCTCAAAAGCAATTCCCTTCTGGCCGGCTGGCCCAGCCCAGGAAGTTTATGACAACCACAGGGCCCTAGTCTGCTTCAAAAAAACAATCTTGTAACAGGAGTTTGTGGATCATGATTTGTGTGAATTAATGAGTACCACATCTCTTTGCAAACCACTTGGCCTCACAGAGTTGAGCCCGTTCAGTTGCTTGGACATGCAAAAGAAAACAGGTAAACAAAATGCATCAAATAATCTATACTCCTTTTGAGGTTTTAAGAGTCTGTGTGTTGGCATGGAAATGTTTATATATACAGAGATATATATGTAAACATAGACACAGACACAGGTAGCCATCGAGTTAGAGACAGAGATATATCCATGTGACTGTGTGTGTGTGTGTGTGTGTGTGTGTGTTTATGTGTGTTGGGGTAGTGGAGGGACATAATTGTGTTCGCATGGTTGTGGAAAGACCAGCATGGAAACATTGGTAGACTTCCATGTTTAATCTTTTTAAAGATGACTCAGCCTGAAGTTAACATGAAAACAAAGACTACTGATACTCAAAAGGAAAATCCATATCGAAGTTAGAAAGTGACACATCTTGGCTCAGGATAGCATCTTTCATGTCATTATATCCAGTACTTGCCTCAAAGGTATCCTTTTTCTAGATGTTGATTGAATATATGGCTTGCTTACTGGCTTGCACCCCATTACAGCCTTAATGAACGTAAAGATCCAACATAAAAAAGAAAATAATTGGGCAGACATTAAAATGCTGGAATGATGTTACTAACTATGCAAGGGTGTTGTCACTGCCTTTAGTTTGTCAATTTGCAAAATATTTTTCTTGCAACACGCTCCATTTTTTGTCATTTTCATATTTGGGGAACTACATTATAGGAAATTACTTTTGTCCAAATGTCTACAATTAGTGAAAATGTAAACGTTGGCCCTCAAATATTTTAACTACAAAATCTAGAGATATCTTAATAATAACGAATTTTGATGAAAAATGCTGTCGTGTTCTATAAAATAACTTGTCAGTGCCTTTTTATCATTCAATAGTGATCAGATAAGGAATCAGTTTTCTTTATAGTTTCAATGAAGGCATATTTTAGATTAGTATATTATTTAAATGTGCAAACTACAAATTGACAACATCTGGTACTTTAATGAAAGAGGATATGGCACTGGTTGTAAGATCAAGCTTTTAGGATTTGACACAGGATCTTTATGCATTAAAAATAGCAATGATTAATTCAAGGCTGAAACTGACTGCAGTTTGATGCCCTTTGAACTTTGAAATGAGAAGATCTGTAGTATCCTCTTAACTGGTACACAAAAGTAACAGAAATGAATAATGGAAATATGACATACTTTAAAAATGAGAATAGCTGCATGATTAATAAATTTTGCATTCAGGACCATTAAACAAAATATTTTTTCTAAGTGGTCATTGAGATCTAATATATTACTGACTATCTCACTATAAATCAATGATATTTCATTATTAAGATTATTTTGAGGTAAGTTATTTGTTCATATAACGAGATTCAAAAATAACATGTTATTTGAAAGAAAAATTATATGACATTGGGCAATTAAACAACACAAATATGTTTTACATATACAAGTGAAAATTAATATAAAATAATATTATCTATAGGTATCTAATAATTTCTTCAAAAGTATTTAAAGGAAGACAAAATTATTTTTAAAGATTAACTCAAAAGAAAGCCATAATAAATAACAAATTTTACTCACTAATTAGGGCTCTGTCAGTTGGTGAGAAATGCCTCAATATACATTTTTCTTTTACTAAGCACGTTATAAATATAATTACATTTCATTACCAAGAAAAAAATATATTTAACCTTTTTATCTACTTCAAGTGAGTGTAAAAAATTATATAAAGCTGAAACCTTTATTTGTTGAAAGCAACAAATAAAGAAAGTCATTAAGATAATGGAAAGAAATCAAGTTTTTTGTCCTTACCACCAATTTATTAATTTATTCAACAACACCTTGAAACAATCTATATTTATTTCTACATCTGAAATGTCATTAAAAATCACTTCTAAGAGCTTTACAAACAGCAGGGAAAAAATTTTGTAAAGAAGAATCAATAAGACAATAAATATGGAATTTTATAAAATTTTGATTTTCTTTACAATTTCAAAAGGTATTGAAATATTTTTATTGATATTAGCTGTGTAATCTGAAAAATGCAACATAGTTTAGTACTTAAAAGAGGGCATCATAAGTCATTAATTTTATTCCCAATTTCTATATCTCTGAAATGCTTTCAGAATAGCTTCTTGTTTTTTTTTTTTTTTTTTTTGAGAAGAAATCTCACTCTGGCACCCAGACAGGAGTGCAATGGCGCACAATCTTGGCTCACTGCAACCTCCACCTCCTGGGTTCAAGCGATTCTTCTACCTCAGCCTCCCAAGTACCTAGGATTACAGGTGTGTGCCACCACACCTGGCTAATTTTTGTATTTTTAGTGGTGATAGGGTTTCCCCATGTTGGCCAGTCTAGTCTGGAACTCCTGACCTCAGGTGATCTGCCCATCCTGGTCTCACCTGCCCATCCCAAAGTGTTGGGATTACATGTGTGAGCCACTGCGCCTGGCAGCTTCATATATATTTTTTACACAGGGAGAAAATACGGATAATAACATTTGCTTCTTGTCAGAAAAAAATGTTCTAAGGATTCACAGGCTACTCTTAAAAAGTGCTTTGAAGTCTGTAAGGGAAGAGAACTGTGTCATTTATAGCTATCAAATATTACTTCAAAACTGAACTATGAATCTTTGCTTATCCAGAATTTCAAAATTAATCTCAAAAGAAAAGAACTCTACATAGCATTTTTTTCTTGGTTAAAATGTCATGAACTTGGAAAAAGCTTTAGTGTTTTTGGAAAGGATCCATATCTGAACAAATTTTCAGAGTTGAAACTTTTGGAATTGTCTCTAGGTATTTTAAATAATATATAAATATTAGTATACAAGTGTTGAAATTTTTGCTCAGCAAAAAGGTGGGCTGTGTCTTAGAGGACAACATTAGCACTAAGGAGAGATAGGTCATCTTCCATGAGCTCCCAAAGCTCTCTCATTTTATCCCACTTTACTGTGAAATAGTGACCGTATTTCCAACAAGATCCTCAATCAAATCTGAAAGAATGGATGACAGATAGATATTGAATGTTTGAGTATGTAAGAATGTAGAAAGCAAAAGAATGGTGTATATTAGTGTCTTGCACTTATGCTTCAACACATTCAACCCAATTACAAACCTCTTAGAATGAATTATTAACTTTTTCATTGAAGAAAGTGAAGTAAATCATGATTAAATAAATTACGGAGGGTTACAGAGTTAAACAGTTATTCACTAATAGGTCACCTGACTCTAAATCATTTTTACTTATGAAGTACCAACTAGGAACTAGATAATGTTGCTTAAGATCAGAATGCTTTATTTGTAGTACAAATGATTGAGCTAATTTGATTACCAGAGATAAAATATTTCACTTAACACAATGAATATATATATATGTGTGTCTGTACGTATACACACACACATATATATGTGTGTACATATATACACTGTGTATAATTTATATATATACACACACATAACCTACACACACACACACACACACACATACACACACACACACACACATATATATATATATATATAACTTCACTCTTTTCCCTGATAACACTTTCTCTATCTTCCTGAAACATTTAGAATCAAACTGGATACCTGGCCAAACAGAAAATTACACAGAGGCATGAGCTAAGCTCTGCCACATGGTTTCAAATGCATAAGTGTTCAAATATAGAGAATCACAAACATCTGGGGAATATATATGTGATCTGTCTGTTTAGTATGTGTTGAAAAAATTGAGTAAGATTACTTCTCTGTTTGTTAGTAAAAGAACTATGTAGTTATTTTATTTTAAAACTATTGGTAAGATCATCACGTCCTAAGTTTATGCTAACACAATCACAGCCTTATTGCCTCTTGGGACTGTTGTAAAATATTAAAAGGGCACATATATTGTACATGTTTGTGGACTAGTTACCTAGACATTTACATGTGAGCTTTTCAGTTAAGCATTCCATGCTTTCCGGCTTCCAACATTGGTGCAGTAAAACATCTGAGGAAAAAAAATTTCCAGGTAAAAGAACTTTACAATATGTATCAATATTATATCTGCATTTTCCACTCATTTCCCTGGGGTATAAATTGAATAGAGAAAAGTTTCTTATATTCAGCTAAAGATCCAGTTAAGCACACTAAAGTACATTGTCAGGCATTGGTTAAACTTAACTTCCTGTATGAAGAGAATATCTTTTTCAAAGTGGAGGTATTTTCCCCTGTGCGGTCATAGTTATATAATCAAATTCTCTTTTCCCTTGTATGTAATATGTCTCCACACTTTAATAGTCATACCTATTTAAGTAAAATAATAGATGCTTTTGATCAAACAATTGGGATACTGTATAAAGCTTGAGTAAGGAAAGAGTCCAGAAATCATTGAGCTAAATACATAGTTTCACCTTCTGGAAAAATCATGCCCAGGGAGACTGAGTGGACTGTTCTAAGTCACATGGTAGTGATCTAGTCAATAGCCATAGGAATTGTAACAAAGTATCCTGATCCCTAGACTAGTATCTTTCCTCATGTTATAAATAATTTTAGGTAATAAGTACTGTCATTAGACACAAATTTAAATAGTTTTCAGATTTCAGGGAAATAAAAAAAATACATCCTTACTTGCATTGACTTTATTATGATAACATGAAAGAGAACTTTAAAAAAATTGGAATACTTGAGGTTAATTATTTTTTAATTTTTAATTTTTTGAGATGGATTTTCACTATGTTGGTGATACAGGATGTTTCTCAGTCCTGCTTTGCCAGCAGGAAACTTGTGGCCAGTAGGGCCTCAGCTCATTTTTCCTAATTGCCCCACTCCAGCCTGCAGCTCCCAGACTGGCCTGGCCTTACCTCTGTTTCCCATCTCATGGGGACGCCACCTGGCACTGGCAAAGGATGGCAGGGCTACAGCTTACAGCTCCTTTTGCCCCAGCTGTTCAGCGGGTCCCAGGTTCTTGTCCTGCATCCAAGAAGAATGAGGTTATGCTGACAATTGAAGGGTGAGGAAGACAGGGAAAAATTTTACTGAGTGACAGAACAGCTCTCAGTGGAGAGGGGATGAGAGGGTGATCCCCCACCTGACGTCAGATGGTTTCTCCCCCAGTATGGCTGGGTCCAGGGCTTTTATGGGCTGAGAATTGGGGAGTGCATGCTGATTGGTTTGTGAGTATGCAAAAAAGCTAAAACAAAGACACTACTCAAAGGTGGGCATGACAGCGTAAAAAAAATCAGTTAGGGAAAGTTAGGTATATGTAAAATAGGTGAAGGGTGAGGATCAATCAGAGGAAAGTGTGCCAAATGGGAAGTGACATTCCTAATCTGGTCCATGGATTTGACTTCTGGCTTGGCTTTCAGGCTTTAAACTGTCTTTGGCTTGAAGGTGGGGTTTCACCAGGGACCTTCCCCTATCTGCCTAGGCATTTGACTGTTTCCTGCCACTATCAATTTTCCCCTCTGAAGAGGTACATCTAACTGCCATTAGGACGGGGACGATGACTGATCTTCACTGCTTTCTGCTGACAGGGGGCACTGTTTTAGGAAGACAGCAGTCAGATCTCCCTCAGAGGCCTGTCTAAGGGTCCCTGTTAAAAGAGAGGCATCATGTGGGGCTCCCATTTGCATGACCATTTAGAGTCTGATGGCCTAAATGCGAGAAAAGACAAACTAGGTTATTAGAAGACATGGATCAAAATGAAACAAGGGGGGAAGGACAGCTTAAAAATCCCAAGGCTGCCAACATGCCCAGATAACTGGAGGCTATTGTTATACCTGCTAAGACTTGGGTGCATGGGTCATGGCTTGGTTAGCTCCATTGGTCTTATTTTCCATTATCCATCCATTTTGTTTCATCTGAGCTACAGCCAGAGATCACTGGTTGGTTCACAGGAATAAGCAGGGTTAGTCTAAAATGCAGACAAGAACTTAAAGACAATTAATGATACTAGAATTTAATGACAAGTGTATGACAAGTTTTGAAACATAATTTTCCATCTCCAATTCTTATTTTTGTTAAAAATAAATCATAATAGAATTGATTTGTTTGCAAAATAAACTTTAGTCTTACATTTGGCCTGATTATTTGCATAAAGTGCAGCAAGAATAAATATTTTCACATAGGCTTTTTAAATTGGCTCGGATGGAAGTCTGTTCCATAAGGAACATCAGGTAAGAATTTTTAAAGCCGAGCCCAGCCGTGGGTTTTAGTCTCAAATACCTATGAATTGGGTAAATTTCTCTCTTCTTGAGGTCACAAGATAACTTGGGGCTCCTGGACCTGTAAAACATTACATTCTTTACTTACCACCAGTTAGGAACCCCGTACAGGAACTGTGTAAACAAGGTATGAGGCCAGTTTTCCCAAGGGGCTTTTACTGACTCTGCAAGTCAAGCTTGATTCCTTACAGGGAAGCACATTATTCCAGTCAAAGCCTTGTCAGTTTCTCCAATTGTGTGCTGTTGCGAAAGAAAATGGATTCTTATTGCTCTTATGCAAATAACTACATTGTCATAAGTTGAGAATATTCACCAATAGTTTCTACGTTTTGAGGAAACCAGACAGAGAGAAACAAATATGCTCCAAATTTTGTTCACAAGAGTATACCTTATTCAATTCTTAATAGCTGTAAATAGCTCAAAATAAAAGTTTCCATGACTCTGAAAAACAGTGTTTCAAGCAAAATGTTAAAAAGATTTATTTAGTCTTCTGCTAATTTAGTCCATTTAGTTAACTCTTGTTCTGCTTGTTATTAATGAACATTTCAGTTCTCCATCAGTCCTAAATGTTTTTCCTCTCTTCAAATGTCATAATCTCCAATAAGAAACGTGCATTTGAGAGCACCTGTCAAGGTCCTATAGCTGATTATACACCACCTTTTGAAGAGGATTAAAACAAGATAACCATTGTCTGTGAATGACAAAATTGTCTTCAGGTAGTCATAGTCAAAAACATGACTGACAAGGAAATTTGGTTATTTATGTGGTTTACAATAACTTAACCTAATAACCTTAATTATGAATGATAGGATACACTCAGACATTACAGTTTTAGAAATCTCATGTAACTAAACATGTCAAATAATCCTGTTTACCTCTCTTTTGGATGCTTCAGGAACCCTCTGTAGTGTCCACAAGTTAGGGGTTAGAAAAGACAAATTTGAAGCTGAAATTTGATTTTTGGAATCCCATCAAATATGTTAAAGGTTTAAAACTTTATATTATCCTTAACCAGTTTGACCATGAGGGGAGATTCTTATAAACCTTTTATAACCCTTCAAAAATTTTTGTTAAAGTGTAGATCTGTGTCTTAAGAAAACCTTGTTGTGCTTTGATTTCAATGTTCAGTTTACAGAAAAAACAAATAATACCATTTTGAGTTTAGTCAATATGTTCATACAAAGAATTGCTTTTACAAGATTAATTTTTACAAACCGTCCACAACTTATTCAAACCTTTAGCTTTATTTAATTTGAAACAATCCTTTAACCCTCTAAATGAGGCAAAAATTTACATTCCCATGCCTTCTTATAATCTTTTACTAAAAACACATTCTACTTTCCTTACACAACTTGCATGTAAATCTATCTTCAGTAGTCTCAATAACATGTTATAATGGTAACTCTTAGTAATTTTTAATTTTGGTGTAAAACTTGGCAAGTCATTTTAATTATGTACTAGGTGCAGATAAGGTCTGACTCTTTTCAGCATAGTTAGGGGCATGGTTAACTCCAAATGACTCTATGCCTTATCAAACTGTAAAACAGGCAAGTCCAACAATTTTCAAAAGCCAAAGAAGCAGCTTATAACCTTAAAGCATTTAGGAGACCCAATATCTGACCATGTAATTTAGACCACATATTTACATTTTGAAGACATTTTTACTTTGCCAATAACCTTGAAAGCTGCTTTTATTTCTCGAAGATTAAAGTCACATGAACTAAAAGGCATTACAGCTTTTATTTTTCCTTTAAAAATATTTGATCTAAGTGCTTATGTTTTCTTTAAGCAAATTAATTAGAGCTTTTTAACAATATAAACATGATACAAACTACACATATATAATTACACAGACAGACAGAAAAAGAAACAGTAGCTGTAAGATTTTTCATTTGCCAATTTCCTAATTGATTTCTGGCCTCAGGGTGGAGCCCTTCAAGAAGCATGGCTAGGAAAAAAATGCAGTTTCTACAGTTTAGTAAGAAGGCACAGCTGGAAGACAAAAACAGATTTTGAGAGAGATCTATTCACTTTTAACTCTTGGAGTTCCGTGATGCTTAATATTGAGTGTCAACTTGATTGGATTGAAGGATGCAAAATACTGATCCTGGGTGTGTCTGTAAGGGTGTTGCCAAAGGAGATTAACATTTGAGTCAGTGCACTGGGAGAGGCAGACCCACTCTCAATCTGGTTGGGCACCATCTAATCAGATGCCAGCATGGCAGGAAGGTAGAAGAGCAGACTTGCTGAGTCTTCTGGCCTTCATCTTTCTCCTGTGCTGGATGCTTCTTCCTACCCTTGAACACCAGACTCCAAGTTCTTCTGTTTCTAGACTCTCAGACTTAACACCAGTGATTTGCCAGGGGCTTTTGGGCCATCAGCCACAGACTGAAGGCTGTACTTTTGGCTTCCCTACTTTTGAGATTTTGGGACTTGGAATGACTTCTTTGCTCTTCAGCATGAAGACAGCCTATTGTGGAACTTTACCTTATGATCATGTGAGTGAAGACTTCTTAATAAACTCCCTTTTATATATACATCTATTCTATTAGTCCTGTCCCTCTAGAGGACCTTGACTAATGCAGATTTTGGTACTAGTAGTGGTTCTAGAAGAATAGAATTTTAAGGATGGATTTCTTTAGTGGGTTGTAGGTTTTCTGGAGTTTGGTGTTTAACATGATTAGATTGAAAAATGCTAAGGGCTCTAGTATGGAGAACATTAATAGTCCATGGCATGAACTATTTAGAGAATTATGCAAAATAAATGCATTTGACACTCCTGATTCACTGCTAATGAAAGGCAAGGAGTTTAGTGACTCTATACATATTACTTTTGACCATATGTGGAGTACCAAGGAATATAATGAAGTTGTTTAGTTGCTCCTAAGTTTGCTGGACAAAGTGACAAAAGAAAAAGGATGAGCTCAAGTATTCTAACTCCTGGCTCCAGAAGCACATACTGAGCCTCAAGTCTTCTAAGATTGCCAAGCGAGAATCTTATTTCCTGTAGACAAAGGGCTGAAATCGCAGAAAATCAGGCACAAGCTCTTCTCATGCAAGTGGCTGACCTGCAAAGAAAGGTACACACTCAGTCTCACCAAGTGTCTACTGTTAAAGTAGGGGTATTAATTGGAAAAGAATAGGAGGCTGCAATTTGGAATAAGGAAACTGGAGATACTGAGCTTGTAAACTCTTATGAGCCTTTTTTTGCCAGAAGAAACAACCTCCCCACCTCCAGTGGTAGGAACATCCACTCCCCGACCCACGCTGCCTTCAGCCTTTCCACCTTTGTCTGAGGAGATTAACCATGTACTACCTGAGGCAACAGTGATGGCTTCCCCTGAGGCAGTTGTCAGTCAAGACAATGCTGATTCTCCTCAGGACCTACCCCCAACACCCCGGTTTGCTTCTAGACCTGTAACGAAATCCCGGCAGGCCCCCAGAGGTGAGATTCTGAATGTGACCCATGAGGAGGTGCACTACACTCCAAAAGAACTGCTTGAGTTTTCTCATTTATATAAGCAGAAATCTGGAGAACAGGCATGGGAATGGATATTAAGGGTGTGGGATAATGGTGGAAGGAACATAAAGTTGGACCAGGCTGAATTTATTGATATGTGCCCACTAAGAAGGAATCCTGCATTTAGTGTTGCAGCTCGGGGAGTTAAAAAAGGTTCTTGTCATTCATTTATTTGCTTAGTTAGCTGAAATATGGATCAAAAGATGGCCCACTGTGAGCGAGCTGGAAATGCCTGATCATTTAATGAAGAAGAAGGGATTCAAAGGCTTAGGGAGATTGGAATGCTGGAGTGGATTAATCACTTTAGACCTTACAACTTTAGAGCTTACAGTTCCTTTGGCCCATGCTGCTCAGCAGGTCCTAGATTCTTGTCTCACATCCAAGAAGAATGAGGTAGCACTGACAATTGTAGTGGGAGGAGAGTGGAGAAGAATTTTATTAAGTGACAGAACAGTTCTCAGTGGAGAGGGGATGTGAGGGTGGTTCCCCACCCAAAGTTGGGTGGTTTCTCCTCCAGTGTGGCAAGGCTTGGGGCTTTTATGGGCTCAGAATGGGGGAGTGCATAGTGACTGGTTTGTGAGTATGCAGAAAGGCTAAAACAAAGACGCCAGTCAAAGGTGGGCAGGGTAGTGTAAAAAACCAGTTAGAGAAAAGTAGGTATATGTAAAACAGGTGAAGGGTAAGGATTAATCAGAAGAAAGGGTGCTGAACAGGAAGAGAGGTTCTCAATCTGGTCCATGGATTTCACTTGTAGATTGGCTTTCAGGGTTGAAAATGGGGTTTCACCAGGCATCTGCACCTAACTGCCAGAGTGCTTACTGCTGCTATCATTGGTCTTGAATTCTTGAGCTCAAGGGATCTTCCTGCCCCTGCCTCCCAAGTAGTTGAGATCACAGGCACACACCACCATGCCTGGCTTAAGGTTAATTTCTAAATAAATACATATATAGATCCAAATATAGAATATGTGAGCAAACCTGGGTGTGTGTATAATATTCCTTTAAAATGGAGGGAGGTAAGTAAGAAACTACAAAAGGGAAATCAACAATCGATTTTTGACTGTTGAAGGAATTGAATTCATAGTTGCAAACTTCATCGCAAAGAAAACCCTAGTGGTAGATGGAATCCAAGGGATATTTCGCCAAATATTTAAGAAAAAAATAAACTTATTCTACTCAAACTTTCCAGTAAATTGAGGAGGAGGAAATATTCCTTAATTCATCTTTGAGGCCAGAATTATCATGTATTGATAGCTTACTTTTTTAACAAAAATATAAAAGCACATCAGTTAAGAAAAGATAGTTTTTAATGGATGTTTCTGAAACTATTGAATTTCTATTGGCAAAAATAAAAGCACTTTCATACATATCTCACACCATAGACAAAATTCACTCAAAATGTATAATGCACCAAAAGTTAAAAACTGAAATTTTAAAATTCTACATAAAACACATGAGAATTCTTTGCAAACTTGGTTAGACAAATATTTCTTAGATATAACATCACAAGCAGGATTCAGAAATAAACAAATTTATTCATTAAACTTAATCAAAATTTAAAAATGTTGTCCTTTGAAAGATATTATTGAGAAAAGGAAAAGACCAGCCACACATGTAGATAAAATATTTGAAAAATATACACTTAATAAAGGTATTGAAAAACAGAATCTATAAGCAGAAATACAATAATAGCAGAAGACTGCTGTATTTCACTTTCATCAATGGATAAAACATCCAAATAGAAAATTAGTAAGGAAACATCAAACTTAAACAACTCTATAGACCAAATGGACCTGACTGACCTATACAGAACATTCCACCCAACAGCAGCAAGACAAGCATTCTTCTCAAGAACATACAGAACATTATTCATGATACCTTACATGTTATGCCACAAAACAAGTCTACATTTAAGAAGACTGAAATCATATCAGTTATGTTTTCCAGCCACAATGGTATGAAACTATAAATCAATAGCAGGAGGAAAATTGGAAAACTCAAAAATACATGAAAATTAAACAAACAATCCTAAACTCCCAATGAGTCAAAGAAGAAATCAAAAGGGAACTGAAAAAGAAAATTAGAGAAATGAAAATGAAAACTAACATACCAAAATTTATAAATGTAGCAAAAGCACTCAGAAGGAAGTTTATAGCAATACACACCTACATAAAGAGAGATCTTTAATAAATAATCTAACCTTATGCCTCAAGTAACTAGAAAAGTAAAAACAAACTAATCCGAAAGTTAGCTGAATGAAAGAAACAAAAAAGTAGAGAATAAATCAAAGAAATAGACTAGAAAAACAATAGATCCAAGAAACTAAGATTCTTTTTTTAAAAAAAAAGCATAAACAAAATAGATAAAACTTTAGCTAGTCAAAGAAAATGAGAGAATACTCAAATAATAAAATAAATGAAAGATAATAAATTATAACTGATGCTACAGAAATAGTATTTTCAATTATATGGTAACAAAGTGCATAACCTAGAGAAATGGATAACTTCCTAGAAAAATACAACTTACCAAAACTGACTTATGAAGATATAGAAAATCTCAACAGACAAATAATAAGTTAGGAGATTGAATCAAATAGAATATCTCCCAACAATGAAAGGACCAGATGGCTTCACTGGTGAATTCTACAAAATATTAAAAAAGTAATTAAGGCCAATTATTCTCAAACTTTTTCAAAAAATATTGAACTGGAGAGAACATTTCCAAATTTATTTTATGAGACCAGCAATACCCTGATACCAATGCCTGACAAAGATGCTCTAAGAAAAGAAAATTTAAAGACAATATCCTGCTGAACATAGATGTAGAAAATTTCAACAAAATATACAACCAAACTGAATTTAAGAGCACATTAGAAGGAACTTACTCCGTGATCAAATGGGATTTATTCCTGGAATGCAAGGATGGTTCAACATATGCAGGATAAAAAGCATATGATCATTTTAATAGACACAGACTAAAAATTGACACAATTTAACACCCTTTCTCAATAAAAATGCTCAACAAACTAGGTTTATAGAAGGAATGTATCACAACATAATAAAGGCCATATATCACAAGCCCAGGGCTAACATCATACTTCAATGTGATAGGTTTGAAGTCAGGAGAATTGGGGAGGAAATGATAGATATACACATTACCATGAATGTGGTGATGGTTTATGAGTATATAAATTTGTCAAAAGATATAAAATTTGTCACTTTAAACATGTGCAGTTTGTTGCACATAGATTCCTTCTCAATATACTGTTTTAAAAACTTTCTATATTCATCCAAAGTTGTTGTATTATTTATCCAAAACAATTTTATTAAGAATATTTTGAAATTCCTATACTGAGCTAGTTTACTACAATGTTAGCAGACAGAATAAGAAAACTGTATTTTACACTGAATTTTAGAAAAGACAAATTTAAAGAAAGTAAACTCTTTTCAGTGTAAAACCTTAACCATTACTAAGACAAAGTCAGGTTCAATATAGTACTGCAGAAAGAGAAAGACTTTGTGTTTCAGATTTTCATTTTGATCTGTAGCCAGCAGTGCTTGTTTTAATATGGTGATTATCTTTCTATTATAAGATGGTGGTTAAGGGGAATAAAAACCAAAATTCTAGACCATCTGGATACAAATCTGAACCCTATCACTAAATCTAAATATCTCTTTCCTCATCTGTAAATGGGGCAATAACAATACTTACATAATGTTCTGTGAAGATTGAGTTGGCAAACAAGTGGAGAGTAGAATGTTAGATACCAGAGGCTGGTAAGGGTATGTGAGTGGGATGAAGAAAGGTTGGCTAATGGATACAAACAGAGTTACACAGAAGAAAAAAGTCTAATATTCAATAGCAGAGTAGGATGACTATAGTTAGCAACAATGTATTGTATATTTCAAAGTAGGTACAAGAGAAAAGTTAAAATGGTCCCAACATATAGTGATGCTAAATACTCAAGGTGATGGATACCCCGTATAGCTTGACTCGATCATTACAAATTCTATGCACGTAACAGACACTCACATGTACACCATAAATATGTAAAATATTATGTATCAATAAAATAAACTGAGTTGATACACATAAAACACTTTGAGTTTCTAGCACAAAGTAGATATTCAAAAAAAGTCAACCAATATTACTAATATCAGAAAACTTTATTTTCTGATTATTCTGTTTACCAAAATTTTACTGGTTATCAAGAGTTTAATCAATATTCATATTCTGCTAATCATTTCATAGCCTCTTATTTTACTTATTTTGAAAAACAAGTACAAACCTTCAGAAAAGTGATTGAAAATATTAGAAATTAATTTACTATAGATTTTCAATGAATTAAATATAAGATCTAACATTCAACATTCTTTACATTAAGGCAAAAAAATCACTTGGGGCCAAACAACATACTGTGAGAGACAAATGTTACATACATTGTCATGATGCAACTAACATATGGGAGATGCTTTAAAATGAAAATACAGTAACTATAATTTAATAAAAATATTTTTGATTTATTTTTTCTAATTACAGTAAATGCAATATTTACTTCTATTGCTTTGGTATTTTATATGTGGTACCTTTGATTTTTTAATAATAATTAAACACTAACAATAAAACAATAATGGTAATTGCTAATGCTTATACAGCAGTTACTAGTTAATAGACACAAATTTACATCCTTTACATATATTTACTAATATAATCTTTGTAATATTCCTAAAATTTAAGTATATTATTGTTCCCATGATGATAATAAAAATGAGGTAATTGAGATACAGGTAACTTGAATAATTTGTCCAAGATCACACACCTAGAAAAGGCACAGGATTAGGACTTGACAAAACACTCTCACACAAATCTACCTACCGCCATTTCTTTATTTACTTTACCATGCAAAATAGAATATATTCCACCACAGTCTATTTATCTACACCTCGATTTCTCTAGTCATCTGTATATCTCAATGTCTTCTGTGACACTCATTTATTATTTCAAATCTTTAAAATTCAGTAACTTTCAACAATATTCTTGCTAGTATGTGAACATATCTGTATTCATCCATGCTCTCCCTCTCTAGTGCTTTGTAACACTTGGTCATAGTGATGAATATGTGCAGTAGCTACAGACATAAACATTAGCATTGCTTTGGCAATGATGGCATTAGAATATGGCACAACCTACCTGCTTTCATTGTGTCTTATGATGTTGACAGACATTGACATAGATCACAGTTAAGTTTGAATTATTATAATTTTTTTCTTTTTTTGAGAAGGAGTGTCACTTTGCCTTCCAGGCTGGAGCACAGTGGGGCAATCTCGGCTCACTGCAACCTCCACCTGCTGGGTTCAAGCAATTCTACCTCAGCCTCCTGAGTAGCTGGGATTACAGGTGTGTGCCACCACACTCAGCTAATTTTTGTATTTTTAGTAGAGATGGAGTTTCACCATATTGGCTGGTCTCGAACTCTTGACCTAAGGTGATGCAACTGATCACCTGAGGCCTCAGCCTCCCAAAGTGGTGGGACTACAGGTGTGAGCCACTGTGCAAATTTTTAAATGAATAAAATATTGTCACTGGGTTTGTACCTAGGTTGAAGATTACATATATTTAGAGCAAATGCTTTGCAATTCCAACTGCACAATATGTATTTCATTTCCCATTACCTATATCACCAACATTTAGTTGTTATTCCGAAGTAAAAATAATTGTTTTTCATGCTGTGGATTTCTTACATGTCCCCTTTCTTTGTTAAAGCTCAAATTGAAGAAAGTTCATTTGAGTTCTACATGACCAGGCAGGAAGGATATGGAAAAACATGCCTATGGGATAGGAATATTATTATTACATGAAGTATATATAAATTACTTGATAATGCATATTTGAATAAATGATAATACCTTTAAAAAGTAAAGGGAAGTGAAAATTACCTTCAGCTCTTTGCCCTGCTTCTGCTTGTAGTAGTTTTTTTTTAATGCAACTTTTACACCTACTGTACAAATATAATTAAAATAAAAGTTGATTTAACATATTTCTAAGCCTGATTTATTTATAAACCAATTGTAATGAAGATTCACAAGCAAAATAACTTTAGTCCTGTGGCTTCCAAACTGCCATCCTGGTGTGCAGCAATGTATTCAAAAGGCACAATGGGATACTTTTAATTTTCTAGGGAAACACAACAGTACCTTTGGATATCCACGACTTCTACTATTAACTTTTTGTACTTAACTACTTAATAAAAAGAACTGCTGGAAATTTATTTTGGCTTAGGAATAATTTTGAAAAATTACGTGCACCATAAACCAAGGAATTATGGGAACCTCTGTTTTAGATACTTCCTTATATTACTATATTGGAATTTTTGTTATAATGGATACTACAGGGCTAATTTATATGTGTCAATTGCTAAACCAGAATCTGGCACATGTACAGTGAGAATTCATCTGAAGGTAACAACAATTGCAACATGCTGTACCAATCCTCATGCCCTATTTCCCAAGCAGGTCTGTATCATTAGAGAAAAGGAAATTAATTGGTTCTCTCTACAGACTCTCTGTTTATGTTCTGTCAACAAAGTGTAGAGATCAGAAACCACCTTTTAATATTTTTCTCTTGCATGGTAATTATTAAAAATCCACCCCCCAATAGCTTCCATTATTCTGCTAGGCTACTCTTTCCTTTTCTCATATTTGTTTGTTTTCCCATTATTTTTCTACTATGCATTTATCCAGAAGTTTCAGTGTGAATTAATAGCTTTTCTTTCAAAGAAAAAATATTTCTTACAGGATATATTTCCATATTCAGCACTAGAGAAATAAACCCAACAAATTCTGTGACAGAACATGCAAGCCAGAATAATACACTCTGTCAATGAAATTAAAAAATCATCATAATATCAGATCCACCTCTAATTATAAAGACTTCTTCTCAGGGCCTAATGTTTCTTAGAGACCTATCATCTCCTCTTGTACTTTCAATAAATCTCAGATGTGTCTTAAGCTGTATATAATTATATGACTTCAAATTGTGTATTTGAAAGAAATTCCAGTTGAGTGAAGACTCTTAACGCCTAATGATGTAGGAGCAAAGCGCCAAGAGGGTCCCCTATTGTAAGTACCTTGACAACCCCATGTTTTAGTGCTAAAATTCAGCTTTTTGGAAGTAGCTACTTTGCAGTTCCATGGAATGAAACTCAATTTGTATCACTGGCTGCTGTGCTGTAAAGGAGAATTTCAATGCCCTATTGAGTACTAAGTCTTTTTGTTAGTTTATTTGCATGTTTGCAGAATAATCTTTACACTGACATAATGACACAGTCATAAAATTTCCTGAATTGAACTTTTGCTTCCCTCTGGAAATGATGAGATTGGAAGAAAAAAAATTGGTATAAAACAAATGAATACAAAATAGAGGTTTCTCTGCAATTAAGGATACACGGGGCTCATTATTGTAATGTAGGAAGGGTATACCCAAGAAAAGATTTAAACGTCCCTCAGTAAAACTGTGGAAGAAAATTTTGCTGGTTGGTGAGAATATAAATAACAAAAGAGAACCGAGAGTGAACAGTTCTAGGAAGGATAAACACTTCCTGAATGTTAAGCTAATTTTTAAAAATTATGATCTGGTTATTTTAAAAATGTTAATCTATTATATTAGACCATTTTGTGTGGCTAGAAAGGAATACTTGAGACTGAGTAATTTGTAAAGAAAAGAGATTTATTTAGCTCACAGTTCTGCAGGTTGTACAAGAAGTATGGCACCAGCATCTGCTCCTGGTCAGTACTGCAGGAAGCTTTCACTCATGCTAGAAAATGAAAGAGAGCAGCCATGTCACATGGCAAGAGAGGGAGCAAGAGCAAAGGAAGCAAGAGAGATGCCAGCCTCTTTTAAACCAGCAGCTCTCCCATTAACTAAGAGTGTGAAGACTCACTCATTGCCATGGGGAGGGCACCAAGTCATTCACCAGAGATCTTTCTCCATGACCCAAGCACCTCCCACCAGGCCTCACCTCCAACACTGGGGATCAGATTTCAACATGAGATTTGGATGGGACAAACATCCAAATTATATCATCTATTAAAATGAATTTTAATTACAGAATACTCAAAAGGAACATATTTCAATAAAAATCTACTCCAAGAGATCTACTTTTAAAAATGGTTAAAGTAAATAAATAAATGCAGGCATTTTATGGATTTTTAATACAGAGATCTTATTTCATGATCCTCATTGCATGTTTCCTTTTATAAACGTAAAATACTACATTCACTCTATTAAATGCTTTCTAATTCAATTCTATTTAGTCTAAAAATATGTTTACATCTGCTTTCTTTATTATTTTGTTTATTGGCTATCTTACAACTCGAGTTCTATTTTTTTACTGATAGATTTTCTAAACCACATTTTAGAATTTGTATCTTCTAATTGGGGAACTTAGCCCATTTAAACTCACAGTCATACTTGATATTGTATACTTCATTGCTAGTATTTGCTATTGTCTAGTTCTCTAATGGCTTATATATTTATTTACTTTTCTCTATTGTGGTTATTTGTTCTTCTTGAATCCTGTTCATTCTTTTTGATTGTTTCAGTTTAATAAAAATTTTACTGAAGTCTAAATTGTCTACAAGTGCCAAGAAATAAAAAAGCTAATTATTTTTATTTTTCTATTTTTGGAGGAAGAAAAAATTCAATTTTAGTTCAAAAATAACCTTCAGTCTTTCCAACCCCACTCTTTGAAATGTAAAATGTGTATACCCACTCTAAATAAAATGTGTTTAAAATTATACATTTATTTTTTATTTATATATTTATTTTTGAGACAGGATCTTGTTTTGTTGCTCACGCTGGAGTGTGATGGCATGATCTTGGCTCACTGCAGCATCAACTTTCCAAGCTCAAGCAATCCTCTCATCTCAGCTTCCCAAGTAGCTGGGATTATAGGCATGCACCACCATGCCCAACTAATTTTGCTTATTTTTAGTAGAGAAAAGGTCTCGCTATGTTGCCCAGACTGGTCTCAAATTCCTGGGCCCAAATGATCCTCCTGCCTTTGCCTCCCAAAGTGTTAGGATTACAGGCATGAGCCACAGCACTCAGCCAATAGTACACAATTTAAACCTACACTTACATTCCGAAAATTATTTTTTACTTCTGTATTTTATTTTTAAATCATAATCTTAACAGGCATTATAGTTTACTTCTTTACTACTGTGAAATTTCCTACTTGAGTTCTGGATTTTGATTAATTTCTTAAAGAGTAGTTTTCATCCCAGTGGAAAATCCTGTCTCATTGATAATATGTCCCTGCAGAAACTGACATTTCCCAGAGAGCTAACTCTACCTTTAACTCTTTTCCACTCCAGAAAGCACAACGGAGGTGTAAACTATTTTCATCTTTTCAGAATTATAGGCTACTATCTTGTTATTTTTTACCTTGCAGTTATATGTACACTGCTATTTCTAATTATGGGTACTTTTCATTAATTTTACCTAAAACTTGGTGAACAATTCTGATTTATTGCATCACTGTTCTCTACTTCCACCTTTCTCTGTCCCCCTGCCTCCCTCTCTTTTCCCTTTTTTCTCATCTCTTTCTCCCCTTATTTCTTTCTTCTCTGTCTCTTCTACCTTCTTCATCCCTTCGTCTCTTGATTTACCTATATGTTTTCTTCATATTCTGAATTTTTGAAATTTCTTCTTTATACCAAACCAAAAAACATTTATTCTTTTTTCCTAGTTGATAACAGTTCTCTACTATCCTTATACGGATATTTGTTATTTTTCTCCTTCACTTTCTTCCTTATTTCTGTCATCTCTGTGTTCATATTTGCCTCTATGTCACCCTTTTGTCTCTCTGCTATTATTTTCTAGGACCATTCCCATTGTATTATTTTCTTAAGAAATTAGGCTGATGTTAATGTTTTATATATTGGAAGACGCTTGCAAAGGTTGTGCTCTTCTGACTCTAGCCAGCCCTGGAATTTTGCTACATATGGAAGGTAGCTGAAAGCCCATAATATTGCTCTCTGTATCAGTGATGCTAGCTACTTTTGCCTTCTTAGGGAAAAACAAAACAAAACAAAAACAACTCCAAGGCATTTCTATGAGACTATGAATTACTGTTGCAGTCTGCTTAGTTCCTAGTTCAGCTAGGTCTGAGTTCTTGTCCCCTGACCAAAATGAATAAGGCATACGGACACTGAACAGTGAGTAGAGTAGGATTTATTAGGCAAAAGGAGAGCTCTCAGCAAAGAGAGAGGACGAGAAAGCAGGTTGCCAGAAATGGGGCTGAGTTCTAGTTCTTTCACGTGGCAAGAGCAAGGAAGTCTTCCGTGGGTTCTGCCCAAAACGGAAGAAGGATGTTGCACCTGCACATGCTTGGGGTTGGCCAGAGTAACTCTATCTTGCTTATTGCCCATGAGTGCTTTGGCAAACCCATGGTGGGGAGGCAGGGAGGCAGGGAGTTGGGGGACTACAAACCACAATACTAATGTCATATTAATGACATTATAATTAGTTGCATCAAGTTAAGGACATTTAGGTTGATTTATTGTGCCTGGGCCTAAGTTGGGACAGTCCTCTCTGAGCAACAACCTGCCACAAGGGAAAATTCTTAAGCACATTTCTTCCTGTGAGCTGCAGAGGCAGTGTAGGTGCTCTCCTGCAGGTGTTCCTGTGAACATTTACCTTCTCCTGAGACCTTCCTTCTCTATCTGCCTAACCAGCCTCTAACTGCCTCCTCTCTCATTACTTTAAATCTGACACTTTACAGACTTCTATGTAGCACAAATGTTCCATGGGAATATTTTGCATTCTCCTGTTCAGTCAGGTTATCTGACTTAAATAAGATTTCTTTTTAAAAAAAATAGGTTAGATACTAGTGTTAAAAGCCACAGTTCACCCAAATATACCTTTCCCCCACTGTGTTTCCTGTCTGCTCTCTTCCTTGCTTGAAGTTTAGGGATTGGGAATAAAATACAAATATTTCATTCTATGTTTCTTACCCACAATCTAGACTGCACGTACAGAACGTTATGTTTGAGTCATAGATACCAATTTTTCTTGTTGACAAAGTGTTTTTTTTTCTCAGAAATAAGTTTAGAAAATGAGAGTTACTAAATGCTATTTCTTCATTATTTGAAAAGCAGAAAAGCTAAGAATATAAATAGATAATCTAGAAATGTGCTCCTCACTCCTTCCTATAAATTAAAAAGAAGTATAATCTAGAGGCTTGCTGAAATCTTTTGCAAGATACTGTGGTGTAGTAAAGACCACAAAATTTAGAATCAAAGAGGTCAGGGTACTAGACTCTATTCTGAATATATGACTTTTGTTCAATGAACACCCTGATGACATTCGATTTACCCTTTGTCTCTCTCATAGAATTGTTGTGAATTCAATGCCAAGTACTCATTTCCTTCAAGTCACACATAATAACTTAAGGATTTTTTAGTAATGTTTTACTTTTGCTTAAAAGGTATTAAAATCAAAGAGTTGTATCTTTGTGTCTCCTAATTAATAGCCAAACTTTTCTACAAGTGAGTATAAAAGTCACTGTGATGATATAAATTGTAGAGGAGAATAGTTTCAGATTAGAGGAATAATCATTTCTCATGACTTCAGAGAAAGACAAGGCAAAAATAAAATCCTAGAAGGAAAAGCCACAGACACAGGGGGTGGGGGGGCCCTATGGGCAGTGAGAGAGCCAGATTTGTGTGGCTCTTAAAGGTGTTTCTCTGAGGATTATTGATGACAACAACTATCTATTACATATTGATTTCTGGTATGTCATTGCCTTGAGTCTTGCAGACATGAAAGAAAATAGCTTACATTATAATTGTCATGATGACAAACATAAATAAAACAGGTTCTGAACAGCTTTCAGGGGAAAAATTACATTTTTACATGGTGATCATGAGTGTGCATTTTTTTTCTATAACTTCAGCTCTCACTCATAGTCAAGGAAGGATATAAACAAATTCAATATAGTACTTTATGTTAACAGGGGTCAATGAGGCTGCCTCTCATCCGGCAATTTTGTCAGTATCCTATCTGAGAAACACTGATCTGTTTTCAAAATGCTAATTCCACAGTCCAGCACTTGGGCAAGAAATCCAACATAACATGATCCAAGAAAAATATCTGGAGAGTATAGGTACCACTCATCAATTCTTGGTATCCTTCTGTTGTTCACTAAAAAGATTTTGTCACAAATATGCATTCTCTAGGAAATCCCTTAATAAAATATACAAAAATTTAGTTACATAGTCACCAAGCTGACATTAATACTAACAATGTTAATATTAAACATATTAAATGAAGCCAATCATTCAACTCCATAAACAAATTGTGAATCTACATCATTTTATTGGTGGATAAGAATGGTTCAGAAAATGATAAGGTGGTCTCCAACAATGGATGGATAAGTTTGTTTTTCTGATGTGTTTTTTATTTTTATTATTATAGAAAAAGAGGAATAAATTTTTAATTTCTCATGTTGCTTCTCAAAGTCTGACTTAAAGCATAAGCTATTGAGGTGACACAATCCCTTTCCTTTCATGAGACACACAATTAAATGAGTAAATAAGAGGAGGTGATCTGTATTCTATCCCTGCCATATTGACTTTTACTTGGCAAGAATGTTATGGGATAAAACTCAAGAAAATCTATAACTGCATTCCCTTACTTATTCTCATTTTGTATTTGGAGAAGATGCGGGGCAGATATGTGTGATTATAATGAAAATGACACAAATTTTAGGAATACTATCCAGTGGAATGAGGGAACTGGTTATAAAGCAGGCTGTTCCGTGATTAAGTTTTGCCTTATTCTTAGTAGTTCCTTTAAGGGTTATTAAAATATTAGGTTAGTGGTAGGGCTTAGCCTCACTATTACCCCTAGTTGGAGTTTGCTAGGTTGAAGTTCAGATATTAACTGAGAAATAACTGGGTATGGGCACATTAAGTATTTGATATAGAGTGTGCCCCTAGGAAATGAGGGAGTTTCTTACGGTTGTGATTGTGGTTGGTTTAAATTTGTTATTGCTAAGAAATCTTTGTAAGTTCCAGATCTGCTTTTTCTAGATGAGTGAAATCGTACATGTCAGTAAATCCAATTTTCACTTTCCTCTTGGGTAAAATAATATTAATATCACTGTATTATCCAAGAATCTTAATGCAAATTTTATTTTAATTGTAAAATCTATGAAAACAAATACATTTACTTTTAGCTTTGTTATATATTAGTTAACTATATTTAAGGTTGTAATTCTGAAGTCTAACATCAGCTCACTGACTCATTCATTCATTCACTCACTCATTCATTAGAGTTTGGAGCACCTGTCCTATACTGGTAGGTGAATTGATCACATAGATCATACAGTCCTAATGAAAGAAGCAGTTACTAAAGAGTGAATAAACTCATAATTAAATAATGTCAAACAATCTTAACTTATGTGAAAGTAAAATAGGATGATGTAATATTGAAATAGCAGGATACATTACCCGGAGAAGAAGATATTTGAGCTGCAAAACAAATGTCCAGATGGAGAAAGCCATGCAAACATGAGATAAATATTTTCCCAAACAGAAGGATCAGTAAATACACAGGCCCAAATAAAATTATGTCTCGTCATTCACAGAGATGGAAAGAAGGTGGAAGGATTGTAGTCAGCCCGGAGAATAGCTGATGGGGATGGATTATGAAGAAGCAGGGATCTGGTCACGTGGCCCCTTGAATATTTTGCTATGGGGTTTGGATTTTTTTCTACATGGCATGTGAAGCTCTTAGGGAATACAATGAGGGGTGGGAGATATTTGCTAATTTATAATTTTCAAAGGCGACTATCATTTTACGATGGATAATGTGTAATGTGGAGAATAGAGAATGAATGTAAAGGAACCCAGAGTAGAAGCTGAGAGATTCAATTAATTTTATTCACATAGACAGAATAAGAAAATACTTAGACCTAGTAGTGAAGTAGTTAGTGAAGATGTTAGAAAAAAAAGAGGCCAAGTACCTACATTGGCAAGGTAATGTTGATCCCTGCATTATTTTAAGATAGATAACAAAAAAATATAGCATAGTATTAGGAAGATAATTTTTTCCATTTAAGTCTAGATATATCATTTTTAAACCAAAATTATAAAGATTTATAATATCTATTAATAATTAGTTATTTGAGTCTAATTTTCTTAAAAAAAAAAAAATATATATATATATATATATATATATATACATTCTGATATTTGAGGCTTTCTGACCAGAGGAACTTTTACTTTTCTAATAGAACAGCTCTTGCCCCTATCACCCATCCTCATTCAAGTATGGGTTCTATTCTAGTAGAAGTCAGAATCGATGGCTTCTAATGCTAATCCTTGATAGTCAGCCATAGCGTGGCCCTCCAGACAAGTGATAGAATGACTATGAAAGTTGGAGGATACCTTAGAAATCACATTTTTAGATTATTTAACAGATTGAAGAAGCTAACATGACCAGACCAAGATCACATGATAATTGCTCTCCAAAGAAATAGTTTTCGTCTATGTCATCTGTTTTCCAGATCAAAGTATGTACTAAAAACTGAGGTTCACATTCACCAGGGTTCAGACACTGCTCTCATCAGCATAGCGACCTTACCACTGTGATTTTCTGCTTTCACTTAAATGAAAGTAAGTATAACTTACTGTCTTGCCAGCTGTGTTTGTTTGGTCCTTCCCCTGCCCCTCCCAAGAAGAGTGAGGCAAAGATTTGATTTCACGTAGTTTATTTGGATCCCAGGAAAACAGCAGGAAAGTGAGTCAAGGCACAGAAGGAACTCTATAAAAGGTGATGTGCTTTGCCCTGGTGAGCGAGCTTTCACTGTGGGCCACGGAGATTCCATCTCCCTGGTGAAGTCTGGGAAACACTGAAGAGCACGCCTCTGAGTTGCCTTGCCTTCCCTTGGGGCGAGGAAGCTGAGGCATTGATCTCTAATTATTAGCCATCAGCTGTCATTGGCTGAGGGCTGCTCCTTGGAAAGGGCCTGCCTCCTGGGAAGAGGAAGCAAAGGGCGAAAGTCGCATATTATGCTATAATACAGCAAAGCATGGCTGGAATGGTGAGAGCCTAGGGGATATGGGTGGGGCATCAACAATTAGCTATTGCAGCTAAAAATATTTAAAATATTTAAAAATATTAGTTATTAAATATATTTAAAATACTTTTTAAAACTTTATCATTTTTCATTGTTTTCATCAGGAATCTCAATCAGGGATTTTAATTTCCTCTAGTGCCAGAAATAGAAATGTAAACAATTATATTCTGTAGTTTCATACACAAACTTAAATAAAAAGTAAAGTTTTGTATACTTAAATACCAAAGTAAATGATAATACATGGCATGTTTGATTCGTTTGGAGTTAACAACACAAAAACTCTATAACTAGAGAAGTAGTGCGTGTTCTTAAAATAAAGTCAGAGCTGACATTCATTTGTTACATTTGTTTTACATAAAAACCTCCCTCTTGACTCAGGTCCAGAGTTATCACTAGGAAAACCCAGGCACTTTTTCAGCACCTGGCTCTTTTTCCGTTGTCATCTGTATGATCTTCATATTTATTTCCTCCCCTTTATATTCCTATGAAGGATCTAGCACCATCACTGTCTATCTCATGCTCCCCTTTCTTAAAAACTCTACTTTCTAAAGGGTATTAAAACCTATTTATATTATGTTTTGTGTACATAACAACCCCGGGCAAATGATTAGTAATTAGAAAGTGGTGGTTAATCGACAAATATCTAAAATGGTATGTTTCTTAGAGTTATCTACAGTAACTAATACAAAATTTCTGAAACCAAACAAGTTGAAACAAGAACTGGCGTGTCCTCATTTTCCTGTTCCACTTTTCCTCTACTGCTTTATGATTTTTGGGCTTCACTGGATTTGATTCTAGAGGCTTTCATAACGTTTTCATGGTCACTATGTCACATATTGTTGGTAGAATTTTCTGTAAATTCCCTCTTATGTAAACATTTTATCTAATTTTAAAAATTTTTTTTCTAATTGCCTTTCCCCCAGAAGCAAATTTGTATTTTTAATTAAACAGAGAATTCTTAGAGAAATAAAGAGAAATTAAAAAGCTAGTAGAAGGAAGACATTTCTTTAATAAATCTCATAGTTTCTGCTTTGAAACTAAGTGCCATATTGAATTAAATGGGTATTTTTGCACACACATACATAAAGATATACACACACCTATTTTAAACTTAAGAAAGGATTATATATTATAAATGACAGATACCTATATGACATAGTGTTTGGCTATACAGAGTTCACACTTGGGCTTTAGTTACATTCATTTTCTGAATAGTCATGTTCTATATCCAAAAAACTCGAAGCAAATATTACAAACCATCAAGGCCATAAGCATTTTATTCTTTGCCTACATGCCTTCATGACTTCTGACTATGCTAATAAAAGACATGAAGTTTCAATAAGTATTTAAGTACTTATGAGCACAAAAGTTGAAAAAACAGAGAATTAAAACACAGTTCTTTAAATCCCCTCAGCAATGTATGAAAAAATTGACTTTCATTTACATTTGATATGTAATATCAAATATTCCATAAATGCAGATATATAGATACAGATAGATGATAGATGATATAATATTAATAGATGCAGAGATAGTTGAAACACGATCTGAAACAGGATCCACAATCTACGATCTGTAGACCAAGTTCAGTCACCACATTTTTCTGTAAATCTAGCTTTATAGAAACACAATCATGCCCATGTGTTGTGTTTCGTTAATGGCTGCTTTCACAGAGTGACAGAGATGACAAGGTTTGCAAAGCCTAAAATAGTTACTATATGACTCTTCAGAAAACTTTCAGAAAACCTTTTTGAACACTTGTTCTGGAGCAAATCGTTTTTGCAATGACATAAGAAGCTTGCACTAAAACAATGACCATTTATCTGCTCATTATCTGTGGTCCAGGACTGAAAGCAAGCTACTCTCACTGGTTGTTCTAGTCCACATGGGCTTGGCTTAGATTATCTACTGGAGTACATTTAGCTGGATTTGGAAGATCCAAGAAACAACTTCACTCATGCAGTTGGTGCTTCACTGCTTCTCTACAAAGTCTCCTTTTACCTTTCCCTTCCCTTGCCTCCTCTCCTCTTTCTCACTGCCCCCAGCCTACATTGGCCTCAAGTTTCACAGTGTGGTAGTCTAGGGCATTCAGACTTTTTAAATGCCAGCTGCTTCAGTAAAGGGCCTTTTCAAAACGAGAAGTTGAAAGTTTCAGATTTTTTTCCTGGACTTAGTTGTCACACAAAATAGATTCTACTACTTTCTTTTCTTTTCTTTTTTTTTTTTTTTTTTTGATTTTTGAGATGGAGTTTCACTCTTGTTGCCCAGGCTGGAGTACAATGGCGCGATCTCGACTCACCACAACCTCTGCCTCCCAGGTTCAAGCGATTCTCCTGCCTCAGCCTCCCGAGTAGCTGGGATTACAGGCATGCGCCACAATGCCCAGATAACTTTTTGTATTTTTAGTAGAGACAGGGTTTCTCCATGTTGGTCAGGCTGGTCTCGAACTGGGTCTAAACAGACCATAAGGCCAGTGCAGATACAAGGGGAGGGGAAAAAAAGACTACCTTTTCATAGGGAAGTGGCAAAGTCACATTAGGAAGCACCACTTGTGATGAGAAGTATTTTTGCCTCAATCTTTAGAATCACATTCTACCAGAAGGATGTTTAATGACAAATGAATTTATATTCTGGCAGAGTTCTTCATCTTATCACAGAATGTTAACTAAAAGTGTGTAGAAAGCTAGCCAGTCCGAGGAACACATTGAGAAGTTCTGACCTTGATCCTAGAACACTACAAAGAATTCAAAATTTTTTGATGATCTTAATGAGATAATTTAACATACTCATTTTATGTTGGATTTTGTATGTATATGTAGAAAACATTTTAGGAAAGATGTATTAGTAAATTTCTAGTAAATGTATACTCAAAATTGCATTTCTGAAATATATCTTTCCCAAATGAAATATTATTGAAAACTTGTCTTTGTTTAAACAAATTCTTAATACTTAAAAGGCTGGATATGGATTTGTGAAAGCAACCCTCATTCTTCTTATAAAAGTATTCTTATCTTTCCATTTAATTTGAGCTTATGCTTACTAGATGTTATTAAACTCGACTGAAATAGACAATTTTTATACAAAGATGTCTTAGGTGTAGTCATAATGACCAAAACTATAGATCATAATCTTTCATGTAATTTCAAATGATTTCACTCATGTGTTTGGTGTCTCAACACCAAAACGATAAGCTATGAAAGAAAGTGGGCTGTCAATATTTGACAAATAATATTCCATAAAGTGAAAGATTTTTACTTATAATAACCTGAAAAAATGAAAAAAATCCATTTGGTTCTTAAAGTGATCAATTGTATATTTTCTATATTTCTATGCCACATGGGATGTTAGGAATTTTTAATTATACTGTGGATTGCTTTGAGATTTTTTTTAATAAGTTGATTCATGAATAAATTTAAAAGAATAAAAAGTTTCAAAAACCTATAATTAAAATTATTCTTTTGGTAAACATGGAATAAGTTATTAAAATAAAATAATATTACATAAAGAATAATTTGAAATTTACATAATATGTGATATACATATATAACTTTCCAAATGGTCTGATGTGTCTGATTTCATTATATAATTTCAGATGAAGATTATAGATTCATTATGAGAGTAAAAACTATAAAAGATTTTTGTTCAGAAAAAGACTAAGAAAACTGCCTCAGGAATAATTTGTACAATCATGTATTTCAGGGGCTCTCCATTAAGTAACAATTTAGCAATGCTTTCTCAAAATGGTGATTGACCAAAGCCATCATAGGATACAGAGGGAAAAATGTGTCCTACGAAAAGTGCTTTTTGAAAACATGTTTTAGAGGTCTATACCCTTGAATAAGATTTTTAGTGTGAAGGCCGGGCGCGGTAGCTCACACCTGTAATCCCAGCACTTTGGGAGGCCAAGGCGGGTGGATCACGAGGTCAGGAGATCGAGACCATCTTGGCTAACACGGTGAAACCCCGTCTCTACTAAAAATGCAAAAAATTAGCCGGGAGTGGTTGCGGGCGCCTGTAGTCCCAGCTACTCGGGAGGCTGAGGCAGGAGAATGGCGTGAACCCGGGAGGCGGAGCTTGCAGTGAGCCGAGATCGCAGCACTGCACTCTAGTCTGGGCGACAGAGCAAGACTCCGTCTCAGAAAAAAAAAAAAAAAAAAAAAAAAAAAAAAGATTTTAATGCAAAATACAGTAACCTCTTATTTATCGTATATTTGCATACCTGTGAATGTAGACCTAGTGATGGTGTTTTGTACTCTGGAAGAAGCATGTGGCTGCCACATCTTTATATTTGCTTTAGTATTTGCCCTCTGGCTATATTAATGGACATCGCTATCCAAGATGCTCCCACACACATGCCATTATTGACTAAGTGGGTTTAAATATACTTGTAAATGCCATAAAGGGTTGACTTTGTCTTCTGCAAAAATAAATGAGTAAAAGGGTTCCTCAAATTTATTTTTTTACTAATCATCTCCCATGGGCTTAATAGAAAAACAATAAGCTCTGAAAGAAAGTGGGCAAGTAAACTGCAAAATAAAAAAAAAAAAACAACTTGGAAAAGCATAATATGTTCAAAAAATTCAAATTGTGTAATATATGGGAACATGTCACTTTCTGCAGCAGAAAGTTTGAAAGTTGTGATATCCATGCAAATCCTAGCATAAATGCTAAGATGAGATGTAAGATAATCAGAAATTTAACTAGAACGTTTTTTAAGAGCCTCTCAAGCATTTGTGGTCTGTTAATGAGATTCCAGTGTTTATTTATAGCAGTTTTGTGTCCCCAGAGCTCAAAAAGAATGTTTGGTAAGAGAGAATGAGAAGGTGAAACATATATCCACACACCAACCTGGCCAAGTCTAAGCAGCACTCCTGTCAGTATTAAATGTAATAGGGGTAACACAAAAATTCATGTGTAGGTATGATTACATTTAGAGGGCACTACTGTTGCCAATATGATGTGATACCTGGCATGAAGGCTCACCAAAGAGGTCAATGTCCTGTGAAAATGTTATTTTACATGACAAAAAAGGGATTAAGGTTGCAGAAGGGATTAAGCTTGCTAATCACCTGACTTTCTGAGATGAAAATTATTCTCATAATGATTTGATGCTGGGCCCAACGTGATCATTTTTTAAAAAGTGGAAGACAGAGAAGAAAGTGTTTGAGTCAGAGCAGCATGATGTGAGAAAATATGGCTCGCTGTTGCTGGCTTTGAAGATGGAAGGGAGTCACAAGCCAAGGAATCATGGAAGCCTCTAGAATCAGGAAAAGGAAGGGTTCGAACTTTCCCTGAGAGCCCCCAGGAAGGGATGCAGCCCGGTTGACACCTTGATTTTAGCCCCGTGAAACCCATTCAGCGCTTCTGATCTCCCTAAGTGTGATATAATAAAGTAGTGTGTGCTAAGCCCCTAAGTTTGTGGTCATGTTACATCAGTGACAGAAATCTAATAAATAGGTTTTGACTTCTCCAGATAGACTAAGCGCAGGCTGCATCCTTCCTGCTCAGGCTGTGAATGACCCAACAAAAACTTAACAGGAGATCTTCTCCCCTTACGTATTCCCCCTACTTCTTTAAAAATTGTTTTGCCCTCATTTCTGCCATGACTTACCCTCTACTGACTTCCCCACAAACATATGAAAAGTCTGTTCGAATGGCTTTCTTTGTACTGTGGCTACTGGACAGTTATCATCTTTGAATGTTTACAGTGTTGACTAAGAAAAAATCTAAAGAGCAAATGAAGAAGGAATAACAGGTATGAAAGTAAACTGCTACGATGAGTCTGTCAGGATTTTACTTCTAATTACAACAATAAAAATTGAAAGACTATGTTCATTCTGAAGAAAAAATAAGTTTTTTCACCACTACTACCAGAACCCAGCTGATTCTGGAAGCTATAGAAGTGTGGAAAAAGAAATACAGAGGAAATATTTTTCTTTCCACTTGAGAGAATGTACAGAAATACAGCACACACACACACTGAATTGAACAGAAATATTCTGGTGCCTACAAGCTTCCTGCAGGTTAATTCCCGCTGTGGTGGGAACTGGCCTGATTTGCACTGACATGCAATGCTCGTCATAGACAAATGCCTCCTATAGAGAAGTGCCTTCAGGTTGCTCCGGTTTGGGACAGAACATTCCATTGCACTTACATGGTTACATCTTATTTATTGTTAGACACATTTTTAGACAGAAAACATTCTCCATTTCTATCATTATAACTTTTGTTGAGATTCCAAAATAAATTATCCATGCTATCATACTCAGTCACAGTGAAACAATAAATATGGTAGCATATTAAAAAAAAATGGAATACATGATGAATGACAATAAAGGACGAGAGCACTATTCTCATTAAATTCAGAGAGCCAGCTCTGGGACGTGTCAGATGTGATATTTGATGACAATAACTGCAATTAATCTTGCATAAGAATTTGCCTAATCCTGTAATGTAGAAGCTTTATTTTTTTTTAATCATCTAATAGCTTATCCTGAAGTGAAAAGAAAGCATTTGTCAACTAGGTCAAGGGGAGTAAGAAAATTGGAAATTTTAAAAAACATAGACAAAGAACGTACACAGAATAAAGCCAGTAACTTTCAGCACATCATGACCCATTTGAAGACAACTATTAAATAAGTTTAATTTCATTTAACTTTTAACTGATGTCAGCCTAATAATATATTGATGTTAAAGTAACAGGTAACTTGCTGTTCTTACATACACACATGGATACACATAGAAGCACATATATGCAATTTTTCAATATTCTATAAGAACTGTTATTTATGTAGTTATCAGCTGATGTTAAATTATAAATGGAGAATGGTGTTAACATATGTCATAATTTAAGACTATTTCTAAGAGCAGCATTATTGGCTAACCCATTTTAAAAATAATGTATCAGAGGCTTTCACATATGATTTAAGACTCACAAATGTATTTTAGATTTGCAACTTTATCAGCAAAGCAGCACCTTTTAAATAAATAATTAAAAATTCCTCATTTGAAACATTCATTATTAATGAGACACTTTGATTAATATTAAGAGTAGGCATTTAATTTGTGAAGTACACCATATATACACAACAGTGCACTAGTCATAAGTATACAACTTGATGAGTTTTCACAGTTTACATACAGACATAACACTACATAGATATAATGGACTAGGCAATGTTTTATATCATGCTTTTAAAGCAACAATAAAGTTTTGATTTTCCAAAGAGGAAAGAAGATAAAATGTATAATATGTTAAATAAAATATCATTGCAACCTTATATAAATTAGAGAAAAAAGAAGAAGAAACGATGTTCTTTTGAAAACAGTGATCTGAAATTAAAGCAGAGAGCCAGCCAAAGAAACCAGTACAGATATGATCTGAGCAAGGTCTCACCCACAAATCTTATTTATTTTGTTGACAGTTGTTAGACTAGACACCAGAGAACCGTGGATGAGGAATGTAGTGGATCTACTATGTTGAATATGAAGGAGTCAACATGTATTTATGAAATGTGATATTTGTACTAAATTAGTCGAGAAAGAGGACTCAAGAACGGGTTCTACATGAATGGAATTATTTGTGTTAGAGATCAGATTTTAAGGTTGGCTTGCCTGATGTTGTTTAGAAGGCAGAATTCTAATATTGTGAGAATTATTTTTGTTCTTTCTAGAGTATCTGAAAATTAAATATCAAGGAAAAAGAGAGCTTACGTTTAGAAATTGGAAGGAAATCTGTGAATCACAATAATACTTTTTGATTTTAAACAGCTTCACATGAATTAACATCAAGTGAATTTGAAAAGCAGCCAAATAAAACCCAGGAATATTATCTTGTTTTTTATTTTTCTTTTCTTCTAAAAATAATGATTGGATACAAGTATAAATTCAGACTTCTCAAAACTTAGCTCTCAAATCATGATCCCCAAACAGTAACACACTCAAGCCAAGAATTTTGAATTGTTTTTATTTCTCTCGAAAAGATGGATTCTCTCAGAATATTCTTAGTCCATTCTCTTACAGTACAGTGACTAATGTATTACCACAGGAGCTTGTTTACCATCCAGTTTCCTTGACTCTACATTCAGAGACTCTGACTTGATAAACCTGTGTTGGAACGTGGAATTCTGAATTTGTAACATATACCCCCCAGGTAATTCTATGGAGAGTAATTCAATTAATAGTAACTAGTATCAATAATTCAGAAATACAAGTACTTCAATTTTTGGCATTGATGATAGATATTGTTTCACAGCATTTAATGATTTGGCCAAAAGTTTTAATTGCATTGCTACTCTACAATATATGTAAATATGTAGCCCAAGTGTATGCTATTTGAAGCTGCATTAATTCTTCCAACATACTATAGTGCTTTTAAATTAATTTTTAATTTAGCTAATGCTCTGTATCTCTGCTCTAAAGAGTCAAACATCGAGAAAATCTGAAGTTACTGAATTATCAACAAATACTATAAACAAATTGAGTTTCCTCATAGACAGATGAGGCATTAATAAATGTTAACATTAATTTACTCATGGCCTATTTTGTGCAAGTTATGGTTCTAGGGAGAATAATGATTAAAAATGTATGTTCTACTGTTGGGATGCACTCAGGATGGTGGCAGAAATATTAAGGGAAATATTAGGAAAATTATAGAAAATAGTCACAAATCTTTTGGAAGGCTGAAAGGTTACATAGCTTGTAATAATTGAACAGGCTGAAGGCAGCCGGTTCTTACCTCAGAGCATTAGGTCATAAGGTAAATATTAGGGACAATAGAGGCTTCCCCAGTTAAGTCTGTTTCCCCTACTTCCATTAACTAACCTTTGAGCCAGATGGCCCTCTTGGAGGGAGGTCAACTAGGGATATTGCCCCCAATGGTATTTACTTTAGACCTTGGTACCTGAACTTTAATCATTCGTAGAACTACTCTCTTAACCATGTTAATTATCCATAAGTGTGTTTACTCAAAACTTCTGTTGTTGATTGTACACTAAATAAATGCCTGGAGTGTGAGCTGCTCAGGGCCGGCCATAGTGACAAACCTCTCTTGGTGTGCAGGCAGTTGGACACTCAGCTGGACTGGCAAAACAGAATATCTGTGTGTCAGTCTATGCTTTATTCATACGTCGTTTGGGTCAGGGTCTGAGGGCAGACCCCCGCAGCTAATGCCCACGTGTGAGGAGCCTTACCTCATTCTACAATCCTCTACAATCCTATGAAGAGGGTAGTGTAATGTTAAGTGTAGAGTACATGTGTGCGTCTATGCCTGTGACTGTATTACTCTAGTAAGGCCACAAAGTGCATCTCTTGAAGAGACGATATTGAATTATAACAAAGTGACCTGAAGTTTGCATTCAGTGAAATAATCAGAAGTATAATGTTATATAACATTATACTTATAAGCTCTTTGCCAGGAAACAGGAAGATGAAAGAAATAATCTGTATTGGGTATCAACTCTGGATCAAGAAGTCTTTTATCTGCTTCTCACATATTATCTTGTTACACATTACCACCCAACATCACAATTTGTACTGGATAAATATTCTGAAAGAATGTGACTTAAGTGAGTCCCAAAGCCCCCAAATCAGAAGACCACTTTTCAAGGCAACTAGGATAGACACATCAAGGTGCAGAAACACCAAGTCCTTCTCTCTGTCTTAAGGTACTTATATTTTTCATGAGGGGAGACCAATAATAAGCAATAAAAATAGGTTGACCAGGTGCAGTAGCTCATGCCTGTCATCCCAGCACTTAGGGAGGCTGAGGCGGGCGGATCACCTGAGGTCGAGAGTGCAAGACCAGCCTGACCAACATGGAGAAACCCCATCTCTATTAAAAATACAAAATCAGCCAGGCATAATGGTGCATGCCTGTAATCCTAGCTACTAGGGAGGCTGAGGCAGGAGAATCGCTTGAACCTGGGAGGCGGAGGTTGTGGTGAGCCGAGATTGTGCCATTGCACTCTGGCCCGGGCAACAAGAGTAAAACTGTGTCTCAAAAATTAAAAAATAGGTGGAGACTGTATCATGTTAAGAGGTGATACATGCAATGAAAAAATAAATAAAGAGAAAAATAAAGGGGAAATTAGAGGCTGGGGGCCACTGGAAGGGAGACACCTTGCCATATTAAACAAAGAGGCCAGGGCAGACCTTTTTCAGAAAGTGACTGGAGCAAAGACTTAAAAGAGGTAGAAACAGCCCATCATATGTTTAGGAGGAGAACTTTTCAGTAAGAAGAAGAAAAAGCTGGAAAAGAAGCACCAGTATCAAATGTGACAAGTATGTTGAAGGAACATCCAGGAAGTCAAGGTGAGAGCAGGTCAGAGGGTGGAATCAGGCCATGATGGTTGAGCAGACCATCACCTGCATTCTGCTTTCACTCTGGGCAAGGGGCTAATGGTGAAAGTGTGGGAGCACAGAAGAGCTGTGATCTGGGCTATTATGTATAAGAATCCCTCTGATCATGCTGGGCACAGACAATAAGAGTCAAGTGCAGAAGCACGGAGATCTGTTAATCATCTACTTTGCCTACCTTTCAGATTCTTTTGCTCGTTTCTTTTCTTCCTCCTGATTTCTTAATATTGAAGTCTCCAGGCTCAGACTTTGCTCTTCTCTTCTCCTGGTGCACTCACACTCTTGGTAACTTCATCCTGTTTCATAGAATAAACCATCATCTGATTGTTCTCAAATTCTTATTTCTATTGAGATCTCTCTTCCACATTCTAATCACATATGAACGATTTCTAGATTTCCTCCTAGAAGCCTCCACTTGGATTCTTAATAAGAGGTCCAAAAGTGACTTTCTCATCTTTCTCTTAAAACTTGTTTTATTGGCTGCCTTTTATGTTTTTGGCCCCGTTTCCTGTTGCCAGGCCATGAGGGGTAATCTAACAGTCTGGATTTTTTGTGGTGGTTGACAGAAACAGGAAAACATTATACCTAGAGAATTGAAGGAGAGTGGCCATCCATGAGTGTTGGGATGTGGGGATGCTGGCATTCTGTGACTCCCTTTTCCTCCTGATTATGCAGTAAAAGGCCAGGTAGGGGTTTCATGGCTTTGCATGCTCCTTTTTAAACTTCTTCACCTCCACCTGGAGAAGCAGGAAACTTTTCAGCTGTTTATTCCTCAGGATGCCAAGTCCAGGAATGCAGCATCTCTTTTGTTCTTAAGAGAGCAGCCAGAAAACTTGACACTTATTTCATTCTTTAGTTGGTTGCTTTATTAATCATACATGTGGCTGGTGTGGTGGTACATGGTTCTGCATTGTTTCTACACTACTTCTAGGTAGGGTCTAAGTCAGAGGGAGAATGACATGCTTTTCTGCCCACCATACTCTCTGACAAGTGTATGTTGCATGATAGAATGGTCTCACCGTAACCAGGAAAGCAAGATTATTATTCCTGTCCCCTAACAGTAGTGTAATGGTGGAAAATCTGTTACAAAATTTCTACAGCATGTACTTTAACTACTCTGTTGAAATGTATTTGGAAGTGGTACAATCCTTTTTGTTTTGTAATGGAACTGTAATGGTCCTAATCAGTTGATTCAGGCTTGACCTCCATAAAGACAAACAGTTTCTTCTAATGGTCCTAATCAGTTGATTCAGGCTTGACCTCCATAAAGACAAACAGTTTCTTCTAATCTTAGTCAGACATAGGCAGATGAATGGAACTGGAACTCTGCTCTCACCATATACAGAAACCAACTCAAGATAGATTAAAGACTTAAATTTAAGACTAAAACTATAAAAACACTAGAAGAAAATCTAGAAAAAACTCTTCTAACCATTGGTGTAGACAAAGAATTTATGACTAAGACCTCAAAAGAACAGGCACAAAAAAACACCAAAAATAGACAAATGGGATTTAATTAAACTAAAAAGCTCACCACAGCAAAATATATAATCAACTGTGAACAGACAACCTGTGGAATGGAAGAAAATATTTACAAACTATATATCTGACAGGGAACTAATTCCCAGAATTTACAAGAAACTCAAACAACTCAACAAAAACCTCCAAATAATCTCATTAAAAGGCAGGCTAAGGACATTAATAGACATTTTTCAAATGACCAACAAGTATATTAAAAAATGTTCAATATCACACATCATCAGAAAAATTCAAATGAAAATCACAAAAGACATCACCTTATACCAGTAAGAATGGCTATTAATAAGAGACAAAAAATAACAGATACTGGAGAGGATGCAGAGAAAAGAAAACTGTTATATACGGTTTGTGGGAATGTAAATTAGTACAAACTCTATAAAAAAATGGGATTTCTCAAAGAAATAGAAATAGAACCATCATATGATCCACCAATGCCACTACTGAGTATATCTCCAAAGGAAAATAAATTATTGTAGCAAAAAGATACCTGTGCTTGTATGTTTAACACAGCACTATGCACAACAGCAAATATATTGAATCAATAACATAAGTGCCCATCAACGTGAAACTGGATAAACAATATGTGATGCATATATATACAATGAAATAGTATTATTCAGCCATAAAAAGGAGTAAAACTGTGTCTTTTGCAGCAACATGGGTAGAACTGAGGCCATTACCTTAGGTGAAACAACTCAGACACACACAAAAAACACTGCATGTACTCACATGTATACATGGGAGCTAAATAATGTGTACACATAGAAGCAGTGTGTGGAATGATGGACAATGGAGACTCAGAGTGCGGGAGCTTGGCAGGGTGATGGATGATGGAAGGCTGCTTGGTGGGTACAATGTGCATTGCTCAGTGATGAATGCACTGAAGGCCCTGAGTTTACCGCAATGTAATTTGTAATTGTAGCACAATTGCATTTGTATCCCAAATATAAACGAAGACAACACACACACACACACACACACACACACACACACACACCCACACAAATCTAGGCAGAGAGACTGGGGAAATAGAAGATCCACATGACCCCAGGAAGACTTGGATTTGACTTTCTATACTCCTTGTCACTCATTGCATGACCTTGAGCAAGGCATTTTGCCTCTGATTCTCAGCTATGTGTCTACACCTGGTAAAATGATGCCTGACCTTTACAATTTTTTCCACAAGAGAATTTCAAATAGGAGTGTACAGGACATTGCTTTTTGATAAGAATTGTGAATATAAGCATTGTCCTTCTCCCTCCTCACTCCAAACCTGATTTGTTACCTAACTTTAGGTGTTTCAGGCACCACGAATGAGGTTGGACTGACCATCAAGAGCAAATGGAGATGCTTAGCCAATGAAAACCAAATTTGAAGACGCAGCCATGGTGAGGACAGCTTTACTGTCCACTTGGTTGACTTTCCTGTCAACCAGGTCTTCCTTGTTGTAAGACCAACAACCAATCAGGACAACAGGTCCTTCCTGTTGTAAGATAAACAACTAATCAGAACAACAGGTCTTTCCTGTTGTAAGAACAAACAATCAGGACAACAGGTCTTTCCTGCTGTAAGATAAACAACCAATCAGGACAACAGGTCTTTCCTGCTGTAAGATAAACAACCAATCAGGACAACAGGTCTTTCCTGTTGTTAGACCAACAACCAATCAGGACAACAGGTCTTTCCTGTTGTAAGACCGATAACCAATCAGGGAAAAGACAATGGAGTAAAATGTCAGTGCAGACTCACTGCAGTGTTGTGTTTGGCTTATTCATACAGGCAATAGTCATTGCTCACAGAAGACTTACAGCCCTCCAACCAATCCCATTGCCCTGAACCCCAAATTTATACAGCCAAGGTAAATACCTTCCTTAAACTCACCTTGAATTAAGCTATATAGTCACTTTATTTTCAAGCCAGATTTAACCCATATAGTGACTGTCCCTCTACAAAATTGTTGTAGCATTTTGTAAAAAAGATTTTTTTTTGCTTTCTGCTTATCTTCTAATATCTTATCATTGAAATGGAGAGCTGAGGAGTCTTGCAGAATTATAGCATTTGAGATTTTGAGGGTGCAAGTCCATAAGATTTTATGGTTCTTGGCATTTTTATATGTACTTCCAAAACAGAGTGAAAACAATTATGTCCAAGCTGTGCTATCAACATAGATGCCAATCTTGAATATAAATTAAGGAGATAATGTTACTGCATGGGTGAAAATCTCTGAGAAGATCTCAATCATATCATGAATCCCCAGTGACTGTCACATATGTGAACTCCTAGTAGATGTTACATATATTTTGTCATTTTTCTTTTGAGCAAGTTATTTGTATCATGATTTTACAAACCCAAAAAACAGGATGAGGCTAATATAGCAAACAGGCAACCCATTCTATTTTACTTCAATCCCTGAATGCCAGTAAAGTTTACTTCTCCTTTGACAGCTAGAAAATTGCAATTTGGAACGGAAAGCTTATCCCTGCAATAAAGATTGGCTAGCAAAGTTTTACAAAGAAATGAGAAATTTGGCTGCTGGTTGTATTTGAACCTTGTTGGAAAGGAGGCTCTCACCAGAAAAGATTGTGCCCTTGATGTGTTAAGCAGCCTGTCCACTTAACCCAAAGGTCTATTCAAACAGTTCAATCAAATTGTAAGCTGTCACAACAGCATCCAAATACATTAGGGCAATCCTGTTAACAGCAGAAAGACCTTGTCTAAGCACCGAGTTATGTTTATTCAGAAAAAAGCTTCAGTCCCAGCTGAGAAGCTGAAAATAGACCTCAGGTTAAAAAAGATAAGTTTTTAAGTTGGTTTTTGATTGTACTGATTCCAAATCTATGAACAGTGGCCTTCTAAGGCAGTGGTCTTCAAGATAGGGTCTTGAAAACTTGTTAGAAATGCAAATTTTTGGCCCTGCTCAGGCCTTAGTGAATCAAACTCTAGAGGACATGCCCAGTAATTTGCTTTTCAACAAAGCCACCAGGTGGTTCTGATTCAAACTGAAGCATAAGAAACACCTCTCTAGGAGTTCATGCTTTTGGTGAAGCAATAAGAATGCTGTGTTAGTTTTCACAGTGAAAACACATTTTGCAAATTGGATTTATCATGATCATTGAATAGGTTACAGTTTTTTAGAAAGACCTTTTTTTTTTGTATAATTACTGAAATGCAAAGCTGAATACTACTGAATTAAGTGTGATATTCATATCGATTGTTGGGATTATTTATATCATCATGGAAAGGAAAACCAGGTAAAGTATAAACTGATCATTGTAATGTTGTTATTAATAACAACAAGAAAAGAAATATGGGACATAAATATCACCTTCAAAAATGTGGGTGGTTTTTCTTCACCAGAGAAAATGAAAATATATTACAAATCTATTTATACAGTAATTATGCCATCTTAATTTAGGTTGGTTAACTCCAAGTAGTTGAATAAAATCTGATACTATTTTCTAAAATTGGTATTATTGGTTCAGCATAGAATAACCACTTCCACACTTCACTACGGAAAGGACCTCATTGCTGGTGCCAGAGAGATCTGGGATGAGTCTCTGGCCTCCCATTACTGTGTGGGTGACTTTGGAAAACACCTTAACCTTTTTGAGCTTCTGAGGTTCAGGATTTTGAAGCTGTTTTGCTTTGTTTTGTTTGGATATTGAGTTGATAAAACCAAACTTGCACAGCTGGTGTGAGCAGTCCTGACAAAGGCAGTAAAGCATGCATCAGAGTAGCTGCCACACCCTGGCTGTGTCATTCACGTTGCCTCTTCCTTTCTCTTCACCAGTGTTCTTTATTCCTGCTGTACACTTGCCATCTGTGATGCAAATCTTTCCAGGCATCTCTGTCCTTTGGCTCAGGCATGGCTCACCTCCCTCAGTTTTCCTCTGCTCCTTCCTCTGCTGTACCTAGCTCACCTCCCTCAGTTTTCCTCTGCTCCTTCCTCTGCTGTAATACACATTTCATCATGTGCAAACAATCATGTATCCTCAAACTTGTTCCTTATAATGATCATTTAATTTCCTCACCTTAATGAAATATGATAGCTCCACTTTTCTAGCAATTCTCTTCTCACTCCACAGAAAATTCTTGGCGTAGTTCTAACGTATTCTCTTATTTAGGTCATCAATCATGCTCACTCTAAAGCCTTCCTATTTAAAAATGAATACAGTGCAAGCATGCAACCTACTTAGATCCTCCTCTTCTTTTTTTAACCATTCACTTTACAGTGTCATGGGGTACTTTTATTTTTAATCTAGTCTTCATCTCCTGTGGGTCTCCACACTCCATAGGCAGACAAAGTTCTCTAGTCATCAGCTCCAATCTACTTTTGCCATATGTGACAGTCAAACTAGCTTTCATTTTGTTCCTTAACACATCCCTCAAAGTTTTCTACTTTTGTGTATATTTTCATGCAATATATTGAATATAAGTGTCTTCATTTCTACAATATCCTCTAAAAATACTGTCCATTAAAGCCCAACTCAAATGTCATAATCTTCCATCCCATATCATCTGTCCATTCTCTTGATTTAAACTATAACTGCCTTGTAATGTATACTACTTAAGATAATGGGTTTTGCTATCATATCACAATTGAAAGTATGTATTTACTCCAAAATGCAGGCGTCTGCCTCTTTCCGTCTGTGTCTATACTTATATCTAAACATCTCTATTCTGTATATTTTATAGAGAATTCAAATTTTAATATAGCTGTAGAGATGTAGACAGCATACCATATGTATATATTCTAGCTATGTATTTATGAAATTTATTGTATTTAAATGCATATGTGAATTTTTAATGTTCTGTAGAAGACCATTGGCAACCATTTATCAGCCTTATAAGAGCTCATTTGAATATGTTATAATCACAGAAAATGAAAAATAAAAGAAGTACTCCAAAAAGCATCTTTGTCACAAAAAGAGCTGATGACTTCTTACCAACTCACTTCCCTATGTGCTTCAAAAATTATTCAAAAGACTAAAAATCCCTGAGTCAATCCCTAAGCATCTATTTTCCTAGTTGGATCTTGATTTGTGATACCAGACTGGTATCTATAGGCTACTGCTAAGTGCCAGTGACCCTACCTGTCAGCCTTGTACTAAATCTCCCATCTCGTTTATACCTGGGCTAGTGGCTTAGTCTTTATGTTTACTTTGCTGAGCCAATGTATTTACATCAGTCAGACTGGGATTTCAACTGGTGACCCTGGGTCTGGCATTCATTACAGTTGTCTTTCTAAAAGGTAATAAAAATTTTAATTTTCACTAAAATTAATATGATACAAATAAAAATATGTTGAAAAAAATAAAACAAAAACAGGGGGACTTGTCATAATAGCTAACAAAATTTGTAATAATATGTAAAAACTGATTTGCAAATACTAAATTTAAATTAATGTCAGATTATGGCAAACAATTTTTAATGTTTCTTATATTTTGGCTCACATCTATCCTCTTGAATAGTTTTTCTTTTTATCAAAAAGCATACTGACTAAATTTAGAGATGAAATACTTGCTATTAATATAAAAATGCAATTGTCCTTACAGAATATATTATTTTCTGTATATTCAAAATATAACCCAGGAGATTTAGGGGAATACTCTTCTTTCCTATGTTCAACCCCCTGAAAAACAAAAACAAACTAACAAAATCAACTTTAAACAAATAAGGCAGATGGGTATATTTGACTTTTACAGCTTTTGAGTATGTATTCATTTAAAAATTCATTTAGGTACAATTTTAGGAACTGATTTGATAATAAAATTGATTAAATTTTTTTAACCTTTAGGTTCAAGGGTCCACGTGCAGGATTGTTAGATAGGTAAACCTGTGTCACAGGGGTTTGTTGTACCAATTATTTTGTCACCCAGGTACTAAGACTAGTAGCCAACAGATATTTTTTTGGATCCTCTCCCTCCTCCCACCCTTTACTCTCACGTAGGCCCCCATGTCTATTGTTCCCCTCTTTGTGTCCATGTGTTCTCATCATTTAGCTCCCACTTGTAAGTGAGAACATGTGGTATTGATGTAGGATTTTTCTCTTGGTCAGTTTGCAAGCTGGGGACCCCCAGCCAACGATGTCCCACCTGGGCCTCACTTGTCACGCTACCTGCTGCAGGAGATGGCCACCCGTTTAACCAAGTCTGGCTTTTGCACCGGTTCCCAAGTTCCTGTCCAGCATCTAAAAAGAATGAGGTTGCTGACCATCAAAGAGTGAGCAAGACGGGAAGTTTTTTGAGTGATGAAACAGCTTTCAGTGGGGAGGAAATGTGAGGTAGTCCCCCTACCTGAAGTCGGTAAAAGTCCTTTAACATGGCTGAGACTGGGGCTTTTATGGGCTCAGAATAGGGAATGTGCGCTGACTGCTTTGTGAGTATGCAAAAAAGTTTAAAGGAAAGACACAACTCAAAGGTGGGCACAACAGTGTGGAAAACCAATTAGGAAAGAGCAGGTATATGTAAAATAGGGGAAGGGTAGGGATCTATCAGAGAAAAGCACACCAAATAGGAAGACGGGTTCACTATCCTGTCTGAGGGCTTACCTAGGACTGTCTCCGGCTTGGAGGTTGGGTTTCACTGGGGACCCGTCCTTATAGACCTAGGAATTTGGCTGCCTCTGGCCTCTATCAGTATTTGGTTTTCTGTTACTCCATTAGTTTGCTAAGGATAATGGCCTCCAGCTCCACCCATGTTCTTGCAAAGGACATGATCGCGTTCTTTTTTATGGCTGTGTAGTACTCAATGGTGTATATGTACGACATTTTCTTTATCCAATCTGGCATTGGTGGGCATTTAGGTTGATTGAATGTGGTTGACTTAATGTTCTTGCTATTATGCATAGTGATGCAATGAAGAAATGCATGCATATGTCTTTATGGTAGAATGATTTATATTCCTTTGGGTATATACCCAGTAATGAGATTGGTAGGTTGAATGGCAGCTCTGTTTTTAGCTCTTTGGGGAATCTCCATACTGTTTTCCACAATGGTTGAACTAATTTACACTCCCACCAACATTGTGTAAGCCTTCCCTTTTCCCTGCAACCTCACCAACGTCTGTTATTTCTTTACTTTTTAAATAATAACCATTCTGACTGGTATGACACGGTATCTCATTGTGGTTTTGATTTGCATTTCTCTCATGATCCAGTGATATTGAGGTATTTTTTAAATGCTTGTGGCCACGTGTATGTTTTCTTTTGAAGTGTCTGTTCCTGTTGTTTGCCCACTTTTTAATGAAGTTGTTTGTTTGTTTTTTTCTTGAAAATTTGTTTATGTTTCTTATACATAAAGATGCTGGATATTAGACCTTTATCAGATGCATAATTGACAAAATTTTTCAAACTTTGAATGTATATTTTTATCACATTAATTCATTTACTGTATACTATTGAGTGTCTATTATGTTATCATCTGTGACATACGCTAACAAGATCGAGGAAAACAAAATGAATGTGAAGAACTCTACGCCTCAGAGAGCTCACAGTCATATGCAGAAACACAAAGCATATCTAGGTTTACTAAATAGACTGGTTGTCTACTACTACATATTGTAGTAGGGATTAGGATTGAGATTTATTTGCATATTTTGTACTTCACTTTCCCCAAGATTAAGATTAATTTAGAATGCTATTGTCTCTTTTGAGATATAGGATTTGATCTATATATGTCTGCCAAGTACAACTTATTTATTGAGTTTTTCAATAAATAAGTATAATTTTAAGTTATAGTTATTATTTGTGATATATTTACTGTTTTTAAATCTCCCCCTACATGGATTTGTCAATTTTTAAAATTCTGTCAATATTTCCTTTCTATAATTTTAGGGTATGATTCTTCAGGGCTTAAAATTAAGGTTGATTATGTCTCCCAATAAGATGCCCCATTTATCATCTATATAGTGACTGACTATTCATAATATGTTCTGTATTAATTTCTCTTTTGTCTGATATTAATACAACATTATGACTTTTTTCAGAACAGTATATTCATGGAATAATTTAACCATCCTTTTAAGTTCAGCTTTTCTGAATTACTGTGATATATGTGGATCTCTCGTAAAGACTATGTGGTGAAATTTTAATTCTTTACTTCTGGAATTTCAGTATTTCAAATAAGTTAAATCAGTTTTTATCTATTGTGATTACTGATGAGTTTTTGTTTTCTTATCTTTCAAGTTTGCTTTGCTTTCTCTCCTTTTTGTTATCTGGTATATAATTTAAAAAATTATTTCTTCTTAAATATCTTGTTAATATTTTAGTAGTCATTTTTAAATTTTAAAATCCACACTTGAGTCAATAAATGTTAAGTTTAATTTAACAATGTATTTTCCTCAAGAATTAGACAAAAAACTTAGGCATCATTGCTAGGTATATACCCACCAGTATATAAATTGTTCTATCACAAAGACACATGAACATGTATGTTCATTGCAGCACTATTCACAATAGCAAAGACGTGAAATCAACCTAAATGCCCATCAATGCCAGATTGGATAAAGAAAATATGGTACATATACACCATGGACTAGTATGCAGCTGTAGAAAAGAACAAAATCATTTTTGTTGCAGGAACATAGATGGAGCTAGAGGTCATTATGCTTAGCAAAATAACAAAGGAACAGAAAATCAAATACCACATATTCTCACTTATATGCAGGAGGTAAATGATGAGATCACACAGACACACAGAGGGGAACAAGAGAAACTTGGACCTACCTGAGGATGAAGGATGGGAGGAGGGAAAAATAACCAATGGGTACTAGTTTTAATACCTGAGTGACAAGATAATCTGTACAACAAACCCCTGTGATGTGAGTTTCTCTAGATATCAAACCTGCACATGTACCAGTTAACTTAAAATAAAACATTTTAATAAAATTAGGCATTACATCTGTGTATCCTTGTAGCCACTACTGTGATTTTATCACCCAATGTTTTAGTTTTACTTTATTCTTAATCCTCTCCTCTAATCTAGACCTTATTTTAGTCATTAATTTCCAATCAATGATTATTTAGTTTAACCCAACATGCATACGAACATTTGCTCACAATTGCTTCTTTTAGGTTTTCTTTCTTTTTATTTTAAGAGACTGAGATCTTGCTATATTGCCCAAGCTGGTCTTGAACTTTTGGGCTCAAGCGATCCTCTCACCTCACCCTCGTGAATCTCTGTGATTACAGTTGTAAGCCACCATGGCAGGCCACAGTTGCTTCTTAAATTTCAAGTTTTTTTCTTCTGAATTAAAGTTTCTAGTGTTCTTCTTATGTAGAATATATTATGGAAAAAAAAAAAAAAAACAGAAACAAAGACTGATAGTATATCATTTTGTTGTTGGTTTCCTTCATACTGGCTTTAGTGAAGGTAGGTTCTCAATCTTTGTCCCACAACTACCACACACACAATAAGTTTTTACCATCCTCTCCCTTGAATGAGGCTTTAGCTGGGTATAGAATTTTTGAGGAACAATTATGTTTCCTTAGCATTTTGAAAATACAATTTCATAGTCTTCTCCCTGTTGAGTTTTTCTATGCAGAGGAGCCAAAATTTTATTTTTTCCTGAAGAATTATCAACTACATCTTTTGAATATTTCATCTTCATACTCTTTTATCCTCTCATTTGAAAATTTGAAACCATTCTAAGCTTATTATATTTTCTTTTTTCTTTTATATGTTGACTACCTTATCATTTTGAAATACATTCTAGTTAATGTCTCAGTAATTATTTCCTTATGAAAGCTTTGCCTATTGAGTCGTAGACACAACATTGGAAAGCAAGGGTGTGTTTCTTTCCTCCTATAGCTATTTTCCTATTTGAGGACAAATTTTACATTAATTTCTGGGCTTGATGACTCATGGCTTTCTTGAAAAGTATAAATTGAGCTCCATATCCATGTGAAGTAGAGGACGGGGTTTTTGTTTCTCACAAATTATATTTTATTTTCTCAAGGAAGCATCCCAGGCATAGACAAGACTGTTTGAACTCCATAGGTCACCAGATACTTACTGCTAATAAATATTTTCCTAAGAATTTATCTCTTTTAGAGTCCTGGAATTATAAAAGTGGGAGTTTTCAGTTGATAAACCAAGAACCTATTTTTACTCCTTTTGAGTCTGGCTTTAAATTCTATTACTATATTGTATTATATTGCCATGTTTTGTGGTTTCGTTATATTTTATTTTATATTTTGTAAATTTCATCTTGCTTTTCTATTTGTTTTGGAGAGAGAAAGATTCATGCTGTTTTAGTATCACATGTGTAAAGAGACAAAACCCAGTTTTTTGTCCCAAACCTGTCATTAATGTTTTCCTTACAGTACTATAAAAAAAATTAAATTAACATATTTCCAACACTCTACCTTGTTTTCTACTTGTGCAGTTTTTACTCCTAGATTTCAATATTGAGATGTGACCAACCAGAATATTCATAAGTTATTTTTCACTTAGTGGAAAATATTATATATTTTTAATAAGGGACCATTCAGAAAAATAAGTATAACTATCTTTTTAATCAAGCCTTTATATGACTTTACAGCATAAATTATTTTTCCTTGGTGTATTAGTCAGGGTTCTCTAGAGGGATACAATTAATGGAATATATATATATATATATATATATATATATATATATATATATATGAGTTTATTAAGTATTAACTCACATGATCACAAGGTCCCACAATAGGCCGTCTGCAGGCTGAGGAGCAAGGAAAGCCAGTCTGAGTTCCAAAAACTGAACAACTTGGAGTCTGATGTTCGAGGGCAGGAATCCAGCACAGGAGAGAGATGTAGGATGGGAGGCTAGGCCAGTCTCCCTATTCACATTTTTTCTGTCTGCTTGTAGTCTATCTGTGCAGCTGCAGCTGACTAGATTGTGCCCACCCAGATTAAGGGTGGGTCTGCCTTTTCCAGCCCATTGACTCAAATGCTAATCTCCTTTGGCACCACCCTCACAGACACTCCCAGCATCAATACTTCAATCCAATCAAGTTGACACTCAGTATTAACCATCACAAGTCCACTCCTTGTTAACTTGAGCCCATACACATCTCCTGAGATCATACATAATCTTCAAATAAAGACAATAATAAGGTCATAATTATGCCTAACTTAATGCAACTATCCCTTCTACAACCAGAAGGGCACCAATCCCCAACCCAAATACTATTACATAAAGTTAACAGTACTTAAATGCTGATGTGAAGTCAATAAATCTTATGTTACTTGATAAAGGAGAAAAGAAATAAAATGAAGATATTTTCTTAGCACAAGTGTGTACATGCACAAACATGTTTTTAAGAAAAGAAGGAGGAATTACTCATGACAATTACAGTTCTTGTTTCTTCAGCTGGTCACATGGTTGTAACTGGTATTGATGACTACCTTCTTCTATTACCAATTCTGTATTCCCTTTGCCTTCAGCAAGCACTTCAGCAGGTCATGGTTTTATTGCTGGTGGAGTGACCCAAACCTTCATTCCTGTGGGGTCTGGTCATTTGTAGTCCTGCCTGGATTGGGCTGTTGCAGTTTCCCATTACCTTAATCACAGGGCATGGTAATACTAAGAGACGCCCTAATGGATCTCCTGTATTCCATGCATACTCTTCCTTGCCTCCATTGTGGGGTAGTAGACTCATTTCCTCTTGATAGTCCAGGTCGCTTGAGAAAAATTTAACAGATGTAAATATTAAAAATTAACTTTCACAACAGAAAATTTACTTTTCCTGCACAAGAATCGAGAGATTGTGACACCACATACCAGCCTGGTCAACAGAGCGAGACTCTGTCTCGGAAAACAAAACAAAACCAGTAAAATCTTCCAAAAATATTTATTTTAACTGGGTTTTCCCCCCCTAGATATGTTCGAAATGAAAGACAATAGCAAGTAAATATTGCACTGTCAAGCCACTATATTATTTCTTTCAAATGACCCACAACAACTCACCGTTCAGCCCTGTTACTTTACATGTTTAAGTGTTTGATACTTCCTATTTTTGTGGCACCATATTATACATTAATACTGTGAAACATTAGGAATGTTTGTGCCTCATTAAAATGTGTTCCCCTCCAAATTCTAGCAAAAGGGTCCCAGTATTGTCCCTTAGAAAGATAGTTTTTAACATTTTAAACCCATATTCTCCTAATTCAAAAGCTAGCAGAAGACAAGAAATAACTAATATCAGAGCAGAACTGAAGGAGATAGAGACACGAAACCTTTCAAAAAATCAAGGAATCCAGGAGCTGTTTTTTTTTTTATATAGATTAACAAAGTAGATAGACTGCTAGCCAGACTAATAAGGAAGAAAAGAGAGAAGAATCAAATAGACACAATAAAAAATGATAAGGATGATCTCACCACTGATTCCACAGAAATAGAAACTATCACCAGAGAATATTATAAACACCTCTATGCCAATAAACTAGAAAATGTAGAAGGAATGGATAAATTCCTGGACACATACACCCTCCCAAGACTAAACCAGGAAGATGTCAAATCTCTGAACAGACCAATAACAAGTTATGAAATTAAGGCAGTAATTAATAGCCTACCAACCAAAAAAAAGCCCAGGACTAGAGGGATTCAAAGCCGACTTCTATCAGAGGTACAAAGAGGAGCTGGTACCATTCCTTCTGAAACTATTCCAAACAGTAGAAAAAGATAGGCTCCTCCCTAATTTTATAAGGCCAGCATCACTCATTTTATAAGGCCAGCATCATCCAAGTACCAAAACCTGGCAGAGACACAACAAAAAAAGAAAATTTCAGGCCAATATCAATGATGAATATCGATGCAGAAATCCACAATAAAATAAAATCCACTGGCAAACCAAACTCAGCAACATATCAAAATGCTTATCCACCACGATCAAGTTGGCTTCATCCCTGGGATGCAAGACTGGTTCAACATATGCAAATCAATAAACGTAATCCATCACATAAACAGAACCAATGACAAAAACCACATGATTATCTCAACAGATGCAGAAAAGGTCTTAGATAAAATTCAACAGCCATTCATACTAAAAACTCTCAATAAACTAGGTATTGATGGAACGTATCTCAAAATAATAAGAGCTGTTTATGACAAACCTACAGCCAATATCATACTGAATGGGCAAAAGCCGGAAGCATTCCCTTTGAAAACAGGCACAAGACAAGGATGCCCTCTCTCACCACTCCTATTCAACATAGCATTGGATGTTCTGGCCAGGGCAATCAGGCAAGAGATAGAAATAAAGGCTATTCAAATAGGAAGAGAGGAAGTCAAATTGTCTCTGTTTGCAGATGACATGATTGTATATTTAGAAAACCTCATTGTCTCAGCTCCAAAACTCCTTAAGCTGATAAGCAGCTTCAGCAAAGTCTCAGTATACAAAATAAATGTGCAAAAATCAAAAGCATTCCTATACACCAATAATAGACAGCTAAATTATGAGTAAACTCCCATTCACAATTGCTATAAACAGAATGAAATACCTAGAAATACAACTTACAGGGGATGTGAAGGACCTCTTCAAGGAGAACTACAAACCACTGCTCAAGGAAATAAGAAAGGACACAAACAAATGTAAAGACATTCCATGCTTATGGATAGGTAGGATAAATATCATGAAAATGGCCATACTGGCCAAAGTAATTTATAGATTCAATGCTATCCCCATCAAGCTGTCATTGACTTTCTTCACAGAATTAGAAAAAAACTACTTTAAATTTCACATGGAACCAAAAAAGAGCCCATATAGCCAAGACAATCCTAAGCAAAAGGAACAAAGCTGGAGGCATCATGCTACCTGGATTCAAACTATACTGCAAGGCTACAGTAACCAAAACAGCATGGTACTGGCACCAAAACAGATATATAGACCAATGGAACAGAAAAGAGGCCTCAGAAATAATGCCACACATTTACAGCCATCTTATCTTTGACAAACCTGACACAAACAAGCAATGAGGAAAGGATTCCCTATTTATTAAATGTTGTTGGGAAAACTGGCTAGCCATATGCAGAAAACTGAAACTGGACCCCTTCCTTACACCATATACAAAAATTAACTCAAGATGGATTAAAGACTGCAACGTAAGACCTAAAACCATAAAAACCCTAGTAGAAAACCTAGGCAATACCATTCAGGACATAGGCATGGGAAAAGACTTTATGACTAAAACACCAAAAGCAATGGCAACAAAAGCCAACATTGACCAATGGGATCTAATTAAACTAAAAAGCTTCTGCACAGCAAAGGAAACTTCATCAGAGTGAACAGGCAACCTACAGAATGGGAGAAAATTTTTGCAATCTATCCATCTGATAAAGGGCTAGTATCCAGAATCTACAAGGAACTTAAACAAATTTACAAGAAAAAAACAAACAACCCCATCAAAAAGTAGGCATAAGATATGAACAGATACTTCTCAAAAGAAGACATTTATGTGGCCAACAAACATATGAAAAAAAGCTTATCATCACTGGTCCTAAGAGAAATGCAAATCAAAACCACAATAAGGTACCACTCACTCCAGTTAGAATGACGATCATTAAAAAGTCAGGAAACAACAGATGCTGGAGAGGATGTACAGAAATAGGAGTGCTTTTATACTACTAGTGGGAGTGTAAATTAGTTCAACCATTGTGGAAGACATGTGACAATTCCTTAAGGATCTAGAACCAGAAATACCATTTGACTCAGCAATCCCGTTATTTAGAAGGATTATAAATCCCATAGAACGATTATAAATCATTCTATTATAAAGACATGCACACGTATGTTTATTGCAGCACTATTCACAATAGCAAAGACTTGGAACCAACACAAATGCCCATCAGTGATAGACTGGATAAAGAAAATGTGGCACATCCATATACACCATGTAATACTATACAACCATATAAAAGGATGAGTTCATGTCTTTTGCAGGGTGAAGCTGGAAACCATCATTCTCAGCAAACTAACACAGGAACAGAAAACCAAACACCGAATGTTCTCAGTCATAAGTGGGAGTTGAACAATGAGAACACATGGACACAAGGAGGGGAACATCACACACTGGGGCCTGTCAGTGGGTGGGGGTCCAGGGGATGGATAGCATTAGGAGAAATACCTAATATAGATGACGGGTTGATGGGTGCAGCAAACCATCATGGCACGTGTATACCTATGTAACAAACTTGCACATTCTGCACATGTATCCCAGAACTTAATATATAATTTTAAAAAAATTACAAATAGAAATCAAGTTACTCTGTCAAACTACACTTCTTCCTCACTATATGATACCTTGCTAGTTAAGAATTATTATTTCCTAAGCCCATATATATATTTAATCTTTGCCTTCTACAGATAAATAGAAGAAAACAAGGTTTTTTTTCTGTTTATTTTTTATATATCTTTTTTCTTTCAGAGATGGGGGTGTCTCACTATTTTGCCCAGATTATTCTCGATCTCCTGGGCTCAAACAATCCTCTCACCACAGCCTCCCAAATGCTGAGGTTACAGGCATAAGCCACCATGCCTGGCTGACAAGAAGTTTTCATCAAGCGCCTACTCCATGCTAGACAATGTACTATGTATGCATTCTTCTCACCCTATGATTTATCAAAGGAGGTTATTGAGATAGTGTCTTTTGCAATACAATATTGTAACAATTATTATTTAATTCATTTTCCTTTGCTTATGCAAGTTATAGTAGAACTACATTATACTGTCAAATCATACTGAGGATCTAATAAACTAAACATTCCTGCTATTCTTAACGTAACTGCTATTCTTAATGTAACTTTTACTGTTCTTTTATAGCGTAATCAATTCTTTTTGTTTGTTTGTTTTTTGGAGATGGAGTTTTGCTCTTGCTGCCCAGGCAATGGTGCAATCTCGGCTCACCGCAACCTCCACCTCCCGGGTACAAGCAATTCTCCTGCCTCAGCCTCCCAAGTAGCTGGGATTACAGGCATGTGCCATTACAGCTGGCTAATTTTGTACTTTCAGTAGAAATGGGTTTTCTCCATGTTGGTCAGGCTGGTCTCGAACTCCTGACCTCAGGTGATCCACCCACCTCGGCCTCCCGAAGTTTTGGGATTACAGGCGTGAGCCACCTCACCCAGGCAGCATAATCAGTTCTTTTAATCAAATACAGAGATTCATACTTACAGGTAAACAATTTGTGTTTTCCCTTGCCTATTTTTTTTGAGATTGCTTAAATTACTAATTTTTAAAAGTCATATTAACCATGGTTTCTAACATTTCATCATTTAATGTTTTGATTAGCATGCCATTTCTAAGTTCAAGTATTTGATTAAAATGTTACAGTAGATAGAACATAATCTAAGCACTTTTTTCTTCAACATACTACCAGAAAAATCTATCTGTGCTAACTTTGGCCATTACTGCTAGTGAAAACTTAATTTTGTCATCTATAATATTATTATTTACAAAATCATGTTCTGAGTGCTAATTTTATTCTGAGAAACATACTGGTGTTAGTTTTAAAAAATGTTTTAAACAACTCATTAAGTAGAAACTATTATACACACTTTGCATATGAGGTAAACAAAGTTTAGAAAGCAGAGTTAATTTTCATAATGGCACAGAACTGTTAAATTGCAAAGCCAGAAATCAAACTCACATGTGTCTAAATGGAGAGTCCCACTGTTTAGCTCTAGGCTACAAATATTTCTATGGTTTTCCTTGGAATCAACATCAAACTTGTTAGTCTGTAGTTTCTGAAATCTACTATGATTTACATCAAAATACCATGGCCACGAATCAATTTATCGATATTTCACAAAGTTTATTAACAATGAAACTTTGATTCTGACTATAGAAATCCTCTGGAATCTAGGATGTGATTCATCTGCTTACAGCAATTTGAACATACTGAAAGTAGCTACATTATTTTTACTCTATCTTGGCTTATCTAGGGTTTCAAAAATCTTTTAATATTATAAATGTTAATGATAGGCATTTTTACAGTTAAAAATGACTATAAAAAAGAGAGATTGAGACATTGAAAAGTTCTACATTTTCTCCATCATTTGTTAATATAAAAATATTACCCACATCCAAGAAATATTTTACATTTCCTTTTTCTGCTTCTTTTTTTTTTCCTCGTTAGAATTTTTCTAGCTACCTTCTACTGCTTCTTATTATATACTTGTGAAAGCATCTTCCTTGTCTTTAGTGTTTTCCATTAAGTGTAGCACATCCAGAAATTTGTTCTTCTTTATACAATTATATATATTCATGCAACTTTAAAACAGTTTTTAATTTTTTTGGAGACAGGGTCTCATTCTGTCACCCTGGCTGGAATGCAACAGCACTATCATAGCAGCTCACTGCAGGCTTGAACTTCTGGGCTCAACCAATCCTCCTGCCTCAGCCTCCCAAGTAGCTACAACTACACGTGTGCACCACCACACCTGGCTAATTTAATTTTTTTTTGTCTTGCTATGCTACTCAGGCTGGTCTCAAGCTTCTGGCCCCTATTGACTCTCTTATCTTTAACTCCTAAACTGTTGAGATTACAGGACTGAGACACTGCACTTAGCCTCATGCAACTTTTTAATAATCTTTTTTGTACAATTCAATCTTTTTATTATGAGAAGGATATTTATGCATATAGATTAAGACATATTTTAGATACTGCTGTATCAAGTATTAACAGTGCTTTTGTATTATTTAAAACAGAAGAATGTGCCCTCTGAGCAGACAAAACACAAGAGCTACCCCTTCTTCGGAGCCGATGCTGCTTCTCTTAGGGTGAGTAACTTGCCTAGAGAGCATTATCTGGATGCCTGTCCCAACTCCACCCCTGGCTAGATAGCAGCCTGCACATTCTCATGCTTTCTATAGTTTCTATTTTTTCAGAGAGTTGATCTTCTTATGGGCTTACATAGTAGTTCAGACATTTCCTATCATAGGATTTTTCATAACAATTACCTAGATTGTAACTTTATGATGTGAGGGAGTAGTCATATCTTGTTTACCATTGTATACCTGCAAATAAGATACTCTGTGGAACATATATTGTTATTTACAACATGCATTAATATTTTAAATAAGGACAAAAATTAGTACTGAAATATCTGAGAAACTCAAATTACTTATTATGTCCAAATTATTTTCTAACTCAAATTAAAATTCAACTCATGACTCCTTTGATATATATACCAATAAACTATATGATGTATTATATGTTATCATTTATCAAGAAAGAGAGACATTGCCGAAATGGTGGAATAAAAGCAATATGGCTTCACTGTCCCCAATGGAAAACCAACAACAATTATCCAGTGCCAAAATTAACACCAACAATATCCCAGAACTCCCAATTTAGTCTGAAATGAATCCTGGAGCCACAGAGAAGTGAAAAACCATGAGCAGAAGATAGAAGAAATGGACGTCTCTATTTGCAATGCCTCTCCCACCAACAGTAAGGCACCATGCAGAGAAGTCTCCCGGATTCACAATTTCCATACTGGATGAAGAGAGATTGATGCAGACAGCCCATTTCCCACTCATTTTGGTCCCTACACAGGAAAACCATTCCTGCCTCAATCTGTGGGAAGACTTGCGAGTGCCTGAGGGAGAGGGCAGCTGGAGACAGACAGTGGAGGTAGGGCTAGTAGCCCCAGGAAATGAAACTCAGACAAATAAAATGTCAAATCAGAGAGGTGGTTCAGCAGCATTATTCTGTGAGAGGCACACTCCATGGGCCATGTGGACAAGACCCCTTAGCCAGTCTCCTCACACAGCTGGGACATTCCCTTTGGGACCCCACTCCTTTGGGACAGGCAGGCCTTCAAATTTTTGCTAGAGCTGTGATAATACTGAGTTAAGGTGCCACCTAGTGGCAAAAAGAGGGAGTGACCTAGAGCTAAAGGTGTCAATATGCAGACTGCACAGAACCTTTCAACACACATATGTTAGAGAAACCAAACCAGCCCGACAAGCAAATACTGGAATAAATAACTAATCATTCAATGCAAATCAATAGACTTACATCCATAAGAAATGATGACAGCAAACTGGGAACCTCCCCAAACGGACAAAGTAGGGAACCAGTGTCTGATTCCAGCAAGATGGTGATGTGAGCTTTCAGATCAAGAATTCAAAATAAGAGTATTGAGGAAACTCAACAAAATCCAAGATAATGCAAACAAGCAATTTGGAAGTTTATTAGAGATTAACACAATAAAAAGCAAACAGAGATCCTGGAACTAAGAAATACATTGGCTGAAATAACAAATGTATCAGAGGGTCTCTACAACAGAACCAATCAAACAGAAGAAAGATATTGTGAGTTCAAAGGCAGAACATTTGAAAATATGTAGTCAAAGGAGAAAAAGAAAAATAATAATGAAAAGGAATTAAAAATGTCTACAACATCTAGAAAGTCACCTTAAAAGAACAAATCTAAGAGTCACTGAACATAGGGATTTGAAAAAAAGAAAGTGGTAGAAAGTATATTTAAAAAAAAACAAAACAGAAAACTTTAACACCTGGAGAAAGATATAAATATCCAAGTACAGGAAGGTCAAAGATTACCAAACAAATTCAGCCCATGTAACACTACCCCAAGGCATATAATAATCAAACTCTCAAATATCAGGACAACAAATATTCATAGGCATCAATGGAAAAGAAGCTAATTACATATAAAGGAGCTCTGACTTGTCTGGCAACAGAATTCTCAGCAGAAACCATACAGGTAAGGAGGGAGTGGATGATACCTTCAAACTGCTGAAGAAAAAAATGCTAACTGAGAATAAATTATCCAACAAAGCTATTCTTCAAACATGAAGAAGAGATACTTTTCTAGACAAATGGAAGCTAAGGTAATTCATCACCACTGGATCTGTCTTATAATAAATGCTACAGAGAGTTCTTTAATCAGAAAGAAAAGGATGTTAACATGCAACACAGAAAATCATCTGAAGGTATAAAGCCTACTGGTAAAATTAAGTACACAGACAAATTCTGAATGCTTTATTACTGTAATTGTGGTGTGTAAACCACTCATACCTCTAGTATTAACACAAAATGCAAATGTATCAAAAATTACTGCAATGATTTTTTAAGAGATAGGTGAATATAAAAACACACAAATTGAGATTTAAGAACATCAAAAAGTTGGAGGATGGAGTTAAAGTGTAGAGTATTTTTAGTTCATTCTTTGCTTTTCATTTAAAGATAGTAATTTCAACTTTTATTTTAGATTCAGAGAATAGAAGTGCAGGTTTGTTACATCGGTGTGTTGCATGATGAAGACTGGGGTATAATTAATCCAGTCACTCAGATAGTGAGCATAGTACCCGAGTTAATTTTTCAACACTTGTCCTGTTCCCTCTCTTTCCCTATTTGTCCCCAGTCTCTATTTTTGCCATCTTTATGTCCACGTTTACCCAATGTTTAGGTCCTACTTATAAGTGAGAACATGTGGTATTTGGTTTTCTGTTCCTGTGTTATTTCACTTAGGATAATGGCCTTCAGTTCCATCCATGTTGCTGCAAGGGACATGATTTTTTCCTATTTTATGGTTGCTTATTATTCTGTGCTGTGTATGTAACACATTTTCTTTATAAAATCCACCTTTGATGGATCCTAAATTGATTTCATGTCTTTGCTACTGTGAACAGTGCTGCAATGAACATATGAGTGCATGTGACTTTTTGGTAGAATGATTCATTTTCCTTTGGATATATAGCCAGTAATGGGATTGCTGGGTCAAATGGTATTTCTCTTTTAAGTGCTTTGAAAAATCTCTAACATGCTTTCCACAGTGGCTGAAGTAATTTACACTCCCACCAAGAGTTTACAAATGTTCTCTTTTCTCTACAGCCTCGCCAACATCTGTTGTTTTTGATTTCTTAATAATAGCCATTCGGACTTGCGGGAGGTAATTTCTTATTGTGGTTTTGATTTGCATTTCTCTGAAGATTAGTGATGTTGAACATATTTTTATGTTTATTGGTCACTTGTATGTCTTCTTATTAAAAGTGTCTGTTCATGTTGTTGGCCCACTTCTTAATGGGATTATTTCTTTTTTCCTTGTTGAATTGTTTAAGTTCTTTATAGATTCTGAATATTAGATCTTTAATGGATGCATGCTTTGTGAATGTTTATCCCATTCTGCATGTTGTCTGTTTATTTTATTGGTAGTTTCTTTTTCTGCGCAGAATCTCTTTAGTTTAATTAGGTCCCACATGTCAATTGTCGTTTGTGTTGCAATTGCTTTTGAGCACTTAGTTATAAATTTTTTCCCAAGGCCAATGTCCAGAGGTTTTCTGGTAGGTTTTCTCTTAGGATTCTTATAGTTTGAGGGCTCACATTTAAATCTTTAATCCATCTTGAGTTAATATTTGTATATGGTAAAAGGGAGGGATTCAGTTACATTTTTCTGCATATAAGCAGTCAGCTATCCCAGCACCATTTATTTAGTAGATGGTCCTTTCTTCATTGCTTATTTTTATTGACTTCATTGAAAATCATATGGCTGTAAGTGTATGGCTTTGTTTCTGGGTTGCCTATTCTGCTGGTCTATGGTCTATTTGCCTGTTTTTGTGCCAGAGTACCATTTTGTTTTAATTCTTGTAGCCTTATAGTTTGAAGTCAGGCAATGTGATGCCTCTGGCTTTGTTCCTTTTGCTTAGCATTGCTTTGGCTGAATTCAGCCTTTGTTTCTTTTCATTCATTGTGATAAAAGTTAAGTTATTTTCCATTTAAAATAACTTTTTATAAATCTGAGATTTTTTTGTAAGCCTCCTGGTAACTACAAAGGAAAAACACACAATGGATATGCTAAAAAAAAAAAAAAAGTAATTGAAACATACTACAGGAGAAAATCACTTAACCAAAAACAAAGATGTTAATAAAGAGTAACAAAACAACCAAAAAATAACAAAATGGCAGTAGTAAATGCTTGCCTATCAATAATAACATTGAATATAAATGGACTAAATTTTCCAATTAAAAGACAGACTGACTGAATGGATTTTAAGAAACAGATCCAACTATATGCTGCCTACAAGAAACTAACTTCACTGTAAAGATACACAGAATGAGAGCGAAGGTATGGAGAAAGATATTTTACACAAACGAAAGTCAAAAAATAGTACGAGTAGCTATATGTGTATCAGATAAAATAGACTTCGAGTCATATTATTATTATTAACCAGAATGAGATATTTTGTATTTTCCTAGACAGAAACATTTCACCTTCACTATATGATGCACATACTTTATAATCAAAGTTAGAGTAGAAAACTGTTTTTCTTTTTATATGAACGGTCTAAGATGTTGTTTCTTACAGCATTACATTTTTAAAAAATTTAACTAAAGTCACTAATTGCTACTTGATCCCAACCCCTTGTTTAATAATGAACACATACAAATTGCTATTCTTTAAATTTTTCTACAAAATTATTTTGAATTATTTCCTCCCATTGGTTTACTTCAATTCTCGGACCCATACCTAAAAATTGTATTCACTTCTTTTTATTAGAATGCATAACATTTCTTATTTTAGATAGACTTTATTTTTAGAGCAGTTTTAGGTTCACAGCAAAATTGAGCAGAACATAAAGAGGTCCCTCATATGTTTCCTACCCCTACACATACATAGCTTTCCCTATTATTGACATCCCGCACCACAGTGGTACATTTGTTACAACCAATGAACTTACATTAGCACATCATTATCACCCAAAGTCCATACTTTACGTTAGGGTTCAGTCTTAGTGTTGTACATTCTATGGTTTTAGATAAATGTATAATAACATATATTCATATTTATAGTAGCATACAGTGAAGAAAATATGTCCAGGTTTATTAATCAGCACTGTATACCTTTATCAGCTGTTAAATAACAACAACAAACAATGGCAGGTTTTCAGTCTCCACCTATTGAGAGGTGAAGCCAGCTGGGCTTCTGGGTCGGGTGGGGACATGGAAAACTTTTCTCTCTAGCTAGAGGATTATAAACACACCAATCAGCACTCTGTGTTTAGCTAAAGGATTGTAAATGCACCAATCAGCACTCTGTAAAAAGGCACCAATCGGCACTCTGTGTCTAGCTAAAGAATTGTAAATGCAGCAATCAGCACTCTGTAAAAATGCACCAATCAGTGCTCTGTGTCTAGCCGAAGGATTGTAAATGCACCAATCAGCCTCTTAAAAACGCACCAATCAGCGCTCTGTGTCTAGCTAAAGGATTGTAAATGCACCAATCAGCACTCCATAAAATGGACCAATCGCACTCTGTAAAATGGAAAAAACAGCACTTTGTAAAATGGACCAGTCAGCAGGGTGTGAGCGGGGCCAAATAAGGGAATAAAAGCTGGCCACCAGAGCCAGCAGCGGCAACCCGCTTGGGTCACCATCCTTGCTGTGGAAGCTTTGTTCTTTCACTCTTCACAATAAATCTTGCTGCTGCTCACTCTTTGGATCTGCACCACCTTTAAGAGCTATAACACTCCCCACGAAGGTCTCCGGCTTCACTCCTGAAGTCAGCAAGACCAAGAACCCACTGGAATGAAGAAACTCCAGACACATCAGAAGGAACAAACTCTGAAACACCATCTTTAAGAGCTGTAACACTCACCGTGAAGGTCCGCAGATTCATTCTTGAAGTCAGCAAGACCAAGAACCCACCGGAAGGAATAAATTCCGGACACACTATGATGCTCTGTTTTTATTAAGTTTGCTGTACACTGTATTTTTTCATTAGGTGAGGAGAAGAAATATCAGAAGCAGCGGAGGAAAGAGAAATTGGGTCCTCTACAGAAGAGGAGGCATTCAGCTGGATGGCTTTTGAAAAGTGTTTCCTGTAGAGTCATCTGCAATGACTTTTGTCTGAGAAGTCTTTGATTTTATGCACTGACATGGTTTCTTGTTCTGTTATAAATATATGCTGTTCTAGTCCTTCAATAAGCCTGTCACATTTTTATCATATCTAAAGGCACTTTTTCTGCAGTGTTAACAATGTCATCTTCATTGTCACTAATGTCATGATCATTTTAATTCAGAACAATTTTTGGCTATATTTCAATAAATGGACAACTGGAGCCTCATTATCAATGTTAAAACATTTTCAGTATTTACTTATTCCAGCTTACTGACAGACTCTGAAGGTATATTTTTGCATATGTAGGGTCATATTTTTTTCTTTTGACATACAGAATTCTTCAAAATCACCACTTTGTTTATCATCAACATTGAACATAATTGCAGGCCAGAGATTGTGTCAGGCATACACTACTCTCTTCAGTCACTGTGTTCCAAGTGTTGGCAACAATATATACAGAATTTTTTATGCTAAATTTCTTTGGAAAACTTTCCACAAATACACCCCTGTCCAATGTAGCTAGCATTTTATTCAGAAAGTATATATATTATATATATATAATTACTCCTCATTGATGTAAGAATACCCTGATCACATGGCTAAATTGATGAAATCACAGTTGAGGGAAAGTATTGGCAAAAACTGCAATTACTTTTGCACCAACCTAATACATGCCATAAATATTATATTTGATAAAAATGTCAGCTAGAGAAGGAGCAGAAGAGTAGTTAAGAAGTAACAAAATCTCACAGTTGCCATACAGTTCATTTTATTTGAAGTGAGCATAAACCACTGGTAGAAAATGTTTGGGCAGGCCGGGCGCGGTGGCTCACGCCTGTAATCCCAGCACTTTGGGAGGCCGAGGCGGGCGGATCACGAGGTCAGGAGATCGAGACCATCCTGGCTAACACGGTGAAACCCCGTCTCTACTAAAAATACAAAAAATTAGCCGGGCGTGGTGGTGGGCGCCTGTAATCCCAGCTACTCGGGAGGCTGAGGCAGGAGAATGGCATGAACCCAAGAGGCGGAGCTTGCAGTGAGCCGGGATAGCGCCACTGCAGTCCAGCTTGGGCGAAAGAGTGAGACTCCGTCTCAAAAAAAAAAAAAAAATAAATAAAAAAAAAGAAAATGTTTGGGCAACCAATCAGAAAAGATGTTTCTGGTGATCCATGCCTTTTTGTTAACATAATAATGACCTGGTATGAAATTCACTCCTTGAAAATAGTAAGAAGGCAAGCTTTTGTGGATCACAGCAAGTTTACATTCAGGCATGCCTACTACATTAGCACATCCAAAGACAGTCATTATGCACTTGGCACCCTTAATTCCTGTAAGGGCCATCTTATAAACTGTAATCAATGTCTTTCTGGGGCAATAACTCCAAAATGGTGATGATTTATCAGCACTACAGACTTATTCTGATGTCAGATTTTCATCAGTGATGATTTTGGCAAACTCATAAATTTCTCCACTGCTTCATGTTTAGCAGATGCTTTATCACCACAAATCTTCAAAAAATTGATGCCATGTCTTTTCTTAAATTTCTACAATCACCCTGTTAAATATTAATAATTCTCTTCGGTTCTCAGTCCATTATGATAGATGACTGTTGCATGATCAGCATACCATCAGCTGGCCTGTGTTCACTGGAGTGCTGATGGTTGCACACTTTCAATACACAATCAAGATCTTCATTTTTATCTTTATGCAGTGTTTTTCTATTTTAACGAACTTCTGTTCATCATTTTCAGCATAGAACTTCAACAGTTTTTCCTTCTGATTCTTCAGGTCATATATGGTGGCCATTCAAATATCAAACTCTTCTGTAAGACATTTTACACTTACAACGCTGTCCAGTTTTCTCCAATAGTTTGACATTTTGTGGTATAGATAAAAATAAATGCTTCCTTTGTTTTCTTATCACTGTTACCCATTGGGGTATCTGCAGGTCTATTTAACATTTTCAACAATATCTTTACATAATATGATAAGAAAAAAAAACATAATGAGTAATGTATGTAGGCTTTGGCCCCATGTGGGGTATTGTGTGGAACATGCCTTTGACATGTTTGGGCCTGAACAAACATGAGTTATTACTTTTTGTGGGTGTCCTTTTGCGTGCTTTTTGTCAGGAAATCTAAGCATGCACACAAAGACATGAGAAGCTAAATAGAGCTGGTAGGGTCCTTTTTCCCTTGGGAATGCCAAGTAAACTGTATGTTGCACACCAGTGTTTTGACTGCAATCTGTTACATAAGGTCAGGTGTGACTTTTTCCAGTTTTGGTGTCATGTGAGCACTCAAAAATTTTGAATTTTGCAGGATTTTAGATTTTGGATTTTTGGATTAAAGACTTTCAACCTGTATCTTCTTTGGTGAGGTGTCTGTTAGGGTCTTTAGCTCACATTTTCATTGAATTGTTTGTTTTGTTGTTGTTGAGCTTTAGGACTTATTTGTATAATTTGGATAACAGTCCTTTGTTAGATATTTTGTTTGTTTTTTTTCCAAATATTTACCCCTAGTCTGTGGCTTTTTTCTTCATTTTTTGACAGTATCTTTCACAGAGCAGAAATTTCTAATTTTAATTAAATCCAGCTTATCAATTACTTTTTAATGAATGATGCTTTTGATGATATATCTAGAAATTCATCACCAATTCAAAGTCATCTAGATTTTCTCATATGCTGTCTTTTAGTTTTATAGTTTTGCATTCTACATTTAGGTCTAAGATTCATTTTGATCTAATTTTTGTCACATGGAGCGTATGTCTTTAAATTCTTTTTTTTTTTCCTGCATGAGGATGTTCATTTGTTCCAGCATCAATTGTTTAAAAGACTACCTTTGCTCCATTACATTGCTTTTGTTCCTTTGTTAAAGATCAGTTGACTATATTTATTAGGTCTGTTTCTGGGCTCTTTATTCTGTTCTACTGATCTGTTTGTCTACTCTTGAGACAATGCCATAGTCTTGATTACTGCAGTTTGTAATAAGTTTTGAAGTCAGATAGTGTCAATCCTTCAACTTTTTTCTTCTCTTTCAATAATGTGTTGTTTCTTCTGTCTGAGTATCTTACCTGTCCCTATAAACATTAGAATCAGTGTGTTTATATGTACAAAATAACTTGCCTGGGTTTTGACTGGGGCTGCGTGGAATCTATTGATATATTTGAAAAAAAAAACTGACGTTTTGAATATATTGAGTCTTCCTATCCATAAACATGGAATTCTCTCCATTTATTTGGTTCTACTTTGATTTCTTTCATCAGATTTTGTAGTTCTGCTCATACACATTTTGTACGTGTATATTGTTAGATTTATGTCTTAAGTATTTCATTTTTTGATTGCTAGTGTAAATAGTGTTCTGTTTTTAATTTCAAATTTGAGTTGTTCATTGCAGCTATATAGGAAGGTGGTTGACTTCTGCATATTAACCTTGTGTCCTACCACTTTGCTATAATTGCTTATTAGTTCCAGAAAGAATTCTGTCAATTCTTTTCAACTTTCTACATAGACGATTATGTCATCTGCAAACAAAGACAGTTATATTTCCTTCTCCATAATATGTATACCTTTTATTTTCTTTTCTTGTCATTGGATTCGTAGAACTTCCAATAAGATGTTGAAAAGCAGTGGTAAGAGGGTATATTATTGCTTTCTTCTTGATCTTACTGGGAAAGCTTTAAGTTTCTCAACATTAAGTACTATGTCAGTGGTAGGTTTTTTGTAGATGTCTTTTATCAAGCTGAGGAAGTTTTCCCCCATTCTGAGTTTACTGAGAGTTTTTATCATTAAATGGGGTTGGATTTTTTCAAATGCTTTTTCTGCATCTATTGATTTGTTCATCTGATTTTCTTTACATTTAGGTTATTAATATGATGGATTAATTGATTTTCACATGTTAAATCCTCCTTTCATCAGTGAGATAAATCGTCCTTGGTTATGATGTATAATTCTTTTTATACACTGCTGGACTCAGTTTGCTAATATTTTTGTTGAGGATTTGTGCATTTATGTTTATAAAATATATTGGTTTTTAGTTTGCTTGTATTGTCTTTGTCTGTTTTGTGTATTAGGGTAATGCTGGCCTCATATAATGAGTTAGAAACTATTTCTTTTGCCTCTGTCTTCTGAAAGAGATTGTAAATATCTGATAAACTCTCTTCCTTAAATGCTTGATAGATTTCACCAGTGAATTCATCTGGGCCTTGTGCTCTCTTTGGGAATGTAACTAATTATTGATTCAATTCTTCAATAAAAATAGTCCTACTCAGATAGTCTATTTCTTCTTGTGTGACTTTTAATAAATTGTGACTGTCCAGGAGTTGACCCATTACATGTAGGTTATCAGATTTGTGGGCATAGAGTTATTAACAAATTTTTTTTATGTCCATGGTATTTGTATTGCTATTTCATTTTTATTTTTGATATTAGTGGATTTGTGTCTTTTCTCTTATTTCGTTAGTTAGCCTGGTTATGGGCTTATACTTTTTTCATTTTCTCTATTGATTTTGTGTTATTAATTTCATTTGTTTCTTCTCTCTCTCTCTCTTTTTATGAAACAGGGTCTTGCTGTATTGCCCATGCTAGACTCTAAGCTAAAGCGATCTTCCCACCTCAGCCTCCTGAGTAGATAAGACTACAACTGCATGCCACTACAGCTGGCTTTCTTATTTTTATTATTTCTTTTATTCTGCTTACTTTGGATTTAATTTGCTCTGCTTTTCGGTTCTTAAGGAGGAACCTTAAGATTATTGATTGTAGGATTTCCTCTTTTCTAATATATGCAATTTCATATATTTCCTTCTAAACCCTGCTTTTTCTGCATCCCACACATTTTGACAGTTTGTATTTTTATTTTCATTTAGTTCAAAATATTTTAAAATTTATCTTAAGACAGTTTACTCCATGTGTTTTTTATTAGTGTGTGTGTAATCTTCAAATATTTCGGGCTTTCTCAGCTATCTTTCCGTTATTGGTTTCTAGTTTAATTACATTGTCACCTGAGAGCAGACATCGACTGAGTTTTATTTTATTCTAATTTGTTAAGGTGTGTTTTCTCATCCAGAAAGTGGTCTATCTTGATGAAGATTCCATGTGAGCTTGAGATGTGAAATCTGCTATTATTGGAAGAAACAGTGTATAGATGTCCATGATATCCAGTTAATTTATAGTGTTGCTGAATTCAACTGCATCCTTACTAATTTTCTGCCTGCTGAATCTGTCCATTTCTGATAGAGGGTTATTGAAGTCTAAAACTATAATAGTATAATAGTAGATGCATCTATTACTTCTTGCTGTTCTGTCAGTTTTTGCTTCTTGTATTTTGATGTTCTGCTATTAGAAACATACACATTAGAAACTGTTATGTACTCTTGATGTTTCTTTAATTTTCTACAGTTGAAATTATGTGCCTAGATGTGTTGTTTTGTTTTCTTTGTTTTTTTGGCGTTATGCTGCTTGATGTTCTCTGAGCTTCCTGAATCTGTGGTTTAGTGTTCAACATTAAAGGACACGCTGTAATTATTGCTTCAAAGATTTCTTTTTCTTTCTTCTTCTTCTGGTTTTTGCATTAAATAAAGTTTCGTTTTGTGGTTGTCTCACAGTTCTTGGATAATCTATGTTTTTGTTGTCGTTGTTTTTCAGTTTTGGAGATTTCCATAGAGATATTTTCAAGCTCAGCAATTTTTTTTTCCTGAACCATATCAACTAATAAGCCCATCAAGTGGCATTCTTCATTTCTGTTACAGCGTTTTAAATCTCCAGCGTTTCTTTTTGGTTCTTTAGGAATTTCCATCTCTCTGCTTACATTTCCGATATGTTATTTTATGCTGTCCACTTTTATTATTAGAGCCCTTAGCATATTTTTTATGTCATAAGTTTCTTCATGAACACATCTAGTGTGCCACATGAATTCGATCCATTTTTCAAAGAAAGTACATCTCTTAAAATGTTCTTCCTATCTAAGAATGAACTAAAACATCTTTATTTCTTAAGTAGTTGGTGTCTTACCATGACGAAAGGTAGCAAATTCAGATCCAAAGTACATTATCATAATTAACAAATAGCACTTGTTTTCACAATCTCTGCATCATTAGGAGCCATTATGAGGAAGGACCAGGGAAGAATTTGCCTCCAGCATATTAATTAGAGTTGCTTTAAATTCTTAGTCTAATTACCACACCCTTGCCATATCTGAGCCAGGTTCTGATTTTGCTCTATTTGTTCAAACAGTGATTTTTCCTGTTAGTATGCCTTGTAATTTATTCTTGATAGCCAGGTATGATATACTGTGTAAAAGGAGCTTCTGTAAATGGGATTTTTGTGATGTAGCAGTTAGGTGTGGCGGGAGGGGAAGCATTCTATGATCCTACAATTTGGTCTTAGTCTTTTAATAAGCCTGTGCCTCTGGACTGTGAGTATCACACGTGCTTTTCTGCCCCCTTTTAAGTGAGACAGATAGGTAAAATGGGCTGTGGTTGAGTATTTCTCTTCTCCACATTGGAACCTAGAGTAAAGAAGAGTTGTATATTTCCCTTTCTCCATGTAGATTAGGCTCTGGTAAAACTCCAGCAGGTTAGGCTCTGGTTAAATAGTTTTTTCTTAGTGAAGACATTGTTAAGAAGAAAAGAATGTCTAGCATATTTCAAAATGGTTATTTTGCCCTTTCCCTGTAAGAAGAATGAAATAATTTTTTCTGATATTTACCATGAGTACAAAGTCAAGGTTCTGGAAATTACACTCACCAAAGGTGGGGACATCCTTATGACTGCCTCAGACTTGAGCACACTGAGCCTCTAGCAATTCATTGATTACATTTCAGGTTTCCTAACCTGGTACCAATTTCTGTGGTGATTTCTGCACATGGGTTTCTGCTGCAGTAAGTTGTGATTCTCTGCATTTGCTTGAGGGTATCTCTAATTTTGAGGGCAGTGTTTTGTGCTGTGATCTCACTTGTCTTATGGATCTAAGAAGAGTTTTTGATTTCTTAGTTTGTTCAGCTTTTTACTTCTTGTTAGGATGAAGTGGGAACTTCTAAGCTCTTTACATGCTGGGCTGCAAATTGGAAGTTTCTATATTTTCTGTTGAAGTTAATATGTGCATTAATTTATATACAAACTATGGGTAAGGTCACAAGTACTATCGTTAGCACTTATTCCTATTATTCCCTATTAACAATCCTGTACATTAGGCTGTTCTTGCACTACTATAATGAACTACCTGAGACTGGGTAATTTATAAGAAAAGAGGTGTAATTGGCTCATGGTTCTGCAGGCTATACAGGAAGTATAGCAGCATCTGCTTGTGGGGAGGCCTCAGGATACTTCCAGTCATGAAAGAAGGCAAAGGGGGAATAGGCACATCGCATGGTGAAAGCTGGAGTAAGAGAGAGCGAGTTGGGGAGATGAGAGGTGCCGCACACTTTTAAATCACCAGGTCTCTCAAGAACTCCCTATCATGAAGACAGCACTAAGCCTTGGGGGATCCATCCTCATGATCCAAATACCTCCCACCAGGCCCTAATGCCACCACTGGGGATTACAGTTCAACATGATTTGTGGGAAGAGATAAATACCCAAACTGTATCATTGTGTAGCACCAGAATCTCTTTTATTTCACTTGAAATACCTGATTTCTTCTAAAATATCTAATTTGAGTAATTTACCTATATTTCTTCCTCCTTTATAATTTATCTTAATATGGTTTATCAGTTGATTATTTCTCCCACCTCATTATTTTCTGTCACTTTTTTTTCTTTTTCTTTTTTTTTTTTTGAGACAGAGTCTTGCTCTTGTTGCCCAGGCTGGAGTGCAATGGTGCGGTCTCAGCTCACGGCAACCTCCACCTCCTAGGTTCAAGTGATTCTCCTACCTCAGCCTCCTCAGCTGGGATTACAGGCACCTGCCATCATGTCCGGCTAATTTTGTATTTTTAGTAGAGATAGAGTTTCTCCATGTTGGTCAGGCTGGTCTCGAACTCCTGTCCTCAGGCGATCCACCTTCCTTGGCCTCCCAAAGTGCTGGGATTACAGGCAAGAGCCACCGCACCCGGGCTAAAATAAATAGATATTTGGAAGTCCTGTTTTGGTCATTTGTGATTACGATAGTAATTACAACTTACCCCATATGCTAAGAAAAGCAAAAGGACTATAACATAGGGATTATTACATTCTGTCTGTAAACAGGGAATGTAAAATATAATGAGTATATTTACTGCAGATCACACACCTAAAGTTGAGGAAGCAGAGAAGCCTTCTGCCACTTTTTATATAGAGTAAGTTTTTCTACTATTAAAATTTATTGTCCTACTATATTTAACATAACAAATATTCAATTCCTCTTTCCTATTTCCGCTCCCCAGATCTATACCTTCCAATAAAAATAAGAGAGCCAAGCACTTGTCATGCATAATATACAGCATTGTTCTGCACAGAATTATAAAAATCACTAGAGAAAGGCTTTAGATCAGCAGACTCTATTAAAAGTCTAAAGTTAAATGGGTTGGCTGTCTCCCCCACGTTGCACATATTCTTTCCAGGTAAAGCTCATGCCATTCGTTGTGTCATATGTACAAGTCAAAACTCCATATTCCTGAGCTGGGAAGTACCGCATACTACAACATTTAGTGATACTTGAATTACTAGAATAAATGAGTGAATGACTGTGTGAATATTAGTTAGCAAAAGGGCCCTGTACGTCCTTGTCTTTGTTAGTATTTTTATTAGTAGATGAAACATCAAATTCTGTTGCTTCTATTTTTCTCAATTCACTCTTCATTAGATATGATTTGTAATTGTTTACAAATCATAGTTTTCCTTCCTTTTTCTTTTTTCTCTGTTAATTTTTCTTTCTCTCACATATTATTTTCATTGATATTGTCTCTTTCCCTTGGCAGCTATTTTTCTTTCTGGTTTTATTCTTGCATTATTTCTCATATTCTTTCTTGACAAAATTTTAGCCTTTTAGCCTTTTAAAAGCCTCAGCACATAGAGAAATATTTCTGCGGCCCTTTAACCTTATCCTTTAGCAGAGAGACTAGCTTGCATTTATAGCATAGATAATTGGTGACTACCTCAGGCAAAAGACAAACTTAGCATGTACCCTGCAGGTTCCTGAAATAGTTCCCTTGGTGTCCATACTTCTTCAGGTTAAACTCAAGTACTGTGTGACTCTTTCTGGAATCTCTTTCTGCTCTGTCAAACCACACTGACAGCTGGTTGTGCCCATTTGCTGGGGACTCACGATCTCTAGGGTACTGCTGCCTTTAAGATAGGCTGACCACTATAATCTCCTGATGTAAATCTCTAATAATATGTTCACTCCTACTATTTATCAATAATTTGTGCCCAAGAGATGTCAAGCCTGACCCCTTTTACAAAGCCTGTATTATTTAGTTTACATCTTCAAAAGCATTGCTGCAAAACATTCCATTAAAAAACTATCATCTCTTTTGCAATGCGTATATGCACAAAGCTTCAAGGTGATTTTTGTGTGTGTTTGTGCATATTAGATTTTGTTACCATGTAACTGAGCACATTGGAACATACATGCCTGCCAAAATAAGAAGGAATTTAAAGCAGCTTGCTATTTATTTGAAGAAAGGAAAATTGGAAAGAACTATATGCTGTCTCCACCCCATTAGTAACTTATAAATTACTATTATCTCTATTTAACCATACAAAGGATAAAATCTAGAGTCATAGAAGGTAAACGAAGAATTCAGAAATAATCCTAAATGAGAAATAAAATCGATATATTCAATTTGAAATTCTAGCTTGCTAGTGATACTTCTAATTCTTAAATAGTATAGTGATTCTTTCTTGCGCACACACATCAACTGATTGTTTAATGATGATAGTTTAGAAACTGGCTAAAATATATTATTATAGAATATTTGAAAATTGATAACTTTTTTTATTATAAAACTATAATTTTATTTTAAGAATCACTACGTTTTTATAGTATAAATTGTGAAAAAGTAAAACAAAGTATAGCAACTTTCAAGGAAAGATGTTCATATAACCTGTATGTCTTCATAATTCAATGCCACATATCATGGGGTCAAAGCACATTCCAAAGGATAAAACCACACCTTTAAAGTTTTCTATATCAAATGCATGAGAAAGAAAATCATTCCTTCTGCCATAAAATTTCAACTTAGTTATTCACAGTATAGCATCTTCACAGAACAACCTGGAAAAGAAATTTTGGTGAATAATTTATAAGTCAAAAGTAAAGCCAAGGGAGCAATCCAATATATATATATATATATATATATATATATATATATAAATGTTATCATAGAGCACATAGAACTCAGACAACATATCAAAGTGTAAAGAAAAGCAAACAAAACAAAACAAAGTTTACATTTACATGAGAAGTAAAGATTGCCTTTAAGAAAATAGGTAGGTCATAAATATACCAAAATGATGATACTTGGAAGAACTATAATAGGTTTAAATGTTTTGAAAGATATATGTGTAATTAAAAAAAAACTAAACACGTCTATGAACATTTAATTCTTAATATTTTCACATAGAACAATTTGTGCTGCTGAAACAGAAAAAAAAATAATAAAGAGAACCAATTTTCTTCTTCAAAATGATAAATCAAAGCCAATAGAATTTTTTTTTCTTTTTCATTCCAACATTCTTGAGCCTTCTATGGTTCATACAGTTCAATCACTTATTTACTGTCAACACCCAACCCATAGTTATTTTTGTTTGTTTCTCATTATGCTTTTATACACAAGGCGTCAATATTAAGATCAGCCTTCATCAGAACAAACATGGATAGTGGTTGCTATACATTTGAGGATTCTGGACATGCTATAGCAATATGTAGACTCAAGTGTTCCATAATCACTTACACAATAAAATGGGGAAAATATATTGACTTAAATTTATCGCTCAAGATACTTACTAGTATCTTTAATACTAGCTTATAATAGTCTGTAAGATTAGTTAATATAAGAAAACTATTTGTGGTAAAATAGACTTTTATTCAGATGCAAATGGATTTTAATCCTGGTTGTGCCATTTATAAGTTATGTAATTTTGGAAAGCTATGTGGAATCTCAGTGTTCACATCTAGTAAAGGGACATAAAATGTATACTTGTTGTGATGGTTAATGTTATGTGTCAACTTGGCACATGGTGTCCATCCAGAGTTTGCTCAAATGCCGGTCTAGATGTCACTGTTAAAATATATTTTAGAGTCGTTAACATTTAAATCAGTAGATTTTAGTGAAGATTAACCCTCATAGTGTGAGTGGGCCTCACACAATCAGTTGAACAAAGCCTGAGATTTTCCAAAATGGAAGGAATTCTACCTCCTGACTGCCTTCAGATTCAAAACTACAACACTGACTCCTGCTGAGATTTCCAGCCTGCTCTCCCGCCCCAGAGACTTCAGACTTGCCAGTCTCCACAGTTGCCTAGGCCAGTTCCTTAAAAATCTCTCTCTGATTGCGTGTGTGTGTGCATTTACATCCATCCATCCTATTGGCTCTGTTTCTCTGGGGAACCCTAATACAATTTTACTATCTGATGTTGAAGATGCAAGTAAAAAAATATGCATCAGATGGCATTCTGGTCTTCAATTTGTTACTTTATCTATGAAGACAGCCCCTGTATACGGAGAATCAACAAAATAAATTTGTCTCCCTCCCAGTCTCACTAGCAAGCACAGCTGCACCACTCACCTGAGAGTCCATCTGCCTATTTCCTATTGGAACTAAGATGTCTAGTTCAGCAGAGCACAGGGGCATGCAGACAGGAGGCAAAAATTTAGCTATTGGATCACTAGGAGTAATGGAGGCTGATGCAACTCCCATTTTCACCCCTTGATTCCTGGACCTGTGAATCCTAGCTATATTAGACATTAATTTAGAGCATATATAGCTTCCTGGAGAACCTTGCCCCAGCCTTACAAGCATTGTCACCTAGCTGGCACTGTAACTGAGTCTTCTAATGGCCCTTCCACCTTTTTTTTAAGCCAGCTGCTTCAGGATGGTAAACAATAAGACTAGTCAATTTCAGAAGCATGGCCTCACTGTTGCACTTCATTTCACGTGAAGTGAGTTCTTTGATCAGAAGCAATGTTGTTTGGAATACTATGATATGATGACAGATAATGCCCATTCTTCAATACCACAGACGATAGCCTTGGTAGAAGCATTGAGTATAGATAGAGTCGTCAAATCTATACCCAAAGTGTCTATTTCAGTAAGAACAAAATGTTACCGCTTCTGTGATGGAAACAGTTCAATGTAATCAACAGGCCACCAGGTGCTAGCTGATCAATCCTGGGAATGTTGCCATATTGGAGGCTCAGTGTTCTTCTCTGCTGCTGGTAGAGTGGGCACTCAGCAGTGGCTGTAGTCAGGTCAACCTTGGTGAACAGAAGTCCACATTGCTGAGCCCATGCATAACCTCAATTCCTGCCACCATGACTACTTTGTTCATGACCCCATTAGGTAATAACCAGGGTGTCTAGGGATGGAGGCTGAGTGGCATCAAGAAATTGCATCATCCTATCCACTTGAGTATTAAAATCTTCCTCTGCTGAGGTCACTGTTTAGTGAGCATGCTTATGGGGCACAAATATTTTCATGCATTTTGTGTATTCAGAGAACTCTAGCCACATACCTATTTCCCAGGCTTCTTTGTCATCATTTTACCAGTCACGTTCCTTTCAAGTCCCAGACCTTACAGGCCACATCCTATGAATCATTATATAATTGCATATCTGGCCATTTCTCCTTCCAAGCAAAATGAATAACTAGGCGCACCTCTAAAATTTCTGCCTAATGAGAGAAATTCTCTTCACCATTGTCTTTCAGTGACTTCCCAGAAAGAGGCTGTTGTGCTGTGACGGTTCACTTTTGAATAGCACCCACATATTGCATAGTGTATTTGGTTGATTCTTATAATTCAAGTACTCTCTTCACAGATAAACTAACAAAATGAAGATCAATACAGCACATATTTGTTTTGGATCTTCAACCACAGATAATAAAATTGTATTAGAGTTCTCCAGAGAAAGAGAACCAACAACGGGTGTATGTGTGCATTTACGTACCCACACATGCACACAAATTTGCAGAGAGAGAGAGAGAGAGAGAGAGAGAGAGTTTAAGGAATTACCAGACTGTGGGAGCTGGAGGGTCTGAAATCCATGAGGCAGATTTGCAGGCTGGAAATTTCAGCAGGATCCAGTGTTCAGTATTGAGTTTAAAGGCTGTCGGGAGGCAGAATTCCTTCTTCTTCAGTAAACCTCAGTCTTTCTTCTTAAGGTCTTCAAATGATTGGAAACAGCCCATGTGCATTGTGAAGGATCATTTGCTCTATACAAACCCTACTGATTTAAATGACAGTCTTTATTCAAGACTGTCTACTACTGATTTAAATATTAATGACATCTTTTACAAAGAAATACTTTCATAGCAATATCTACATTGATGCTTGGTCAAACCACTGGGTATCATTGCCTAGCCAAGCAACACATAAAATTAACAATCACACTTGTCTGCTTTTAAAGGTGATCATTAAGCCCAAATTAAATAACAAAGGTTTAGTCAGACACTTAGCACAGTCTCGTACACAGCAGCCTTTTTACTATTGCTGTATGATACTACCAGTACTAACAACATCACAACTAAAACCACTCCTCATACTACCCCTGTTGCTATTACTGGTACAAATGCAGGCATATTTGCATACTCTCCTACTTGTTTTCTAAGGTTTACTGAAACATAATTATTTGTTAGCCAAGTAGCTCCCACACCAATCCATTCAAATTCCTTAAATCTTGATCAACTCAGTTGCATGTTACACTAAACAATCTCCTTTTATCTACCACCTAAGGTGTTGGTATCACTAGTTTTCTCAAAGAATTTGCTTATTACTTTTTGTGTATCATCGAGTCACATATTCTATGGAAAGAAGCACAGGAGTCTTGGAAGTTAATAATCTTACATTCAAAATTCTAGAGATAGCTACATAAATCTTCAGCAAACTACTTTTTTTCCAAACCTCCATTTCTGCTTTGTAAATTGCAGACAATATGATCAATATGATCTATGTCCAAATTTTACTGTGTATACTTTTGAAGCTCAATTTATTAGCTTACATAGACTCAAATTTGTATTTATTCATGTTTTGACTAGTCTTATACTCCATATTGGAGACAAGCATTTTTTTTTTTCTTTTGAGATGGAGTTTCACTCTGTAGCCCAGACTGGAATACAGTGGCTGGACCTTAGCTCACTGCAGCCTCCAGCTCCCAGGTTCAAGTGATTCTCCTGCCTCAGCCTCCTGAGTAGCTGAGATTACAAGCACCTGCCAGCATACTCGGCTAAATTTTGTATTTTTAGTAGAGACAGTTTTCACCATGTTAGCCAGGCTGATCTCGAACTCCTGACCTCAAGTGATGCACCTGCACAGGCTGCCCAAAGTGCTGGGATTACAGGCGTGAGCCACCGTGCCCAGCTGAGACAAGCATCTTGTGAGTAGCATTCACCTATGTGTATTTCAGTCCTTTCTCCCCTACCTTCATGACTTGCACACTATAATAAAGTACCAAACTATGTAACAATTATTTAAATTAATACGTCTTTATTTAACCTAATACATTCTAAAATAAATGATTAATGCATGTTATCCTTCCAAGATTCATGGTAGAGAATGCAGTAGATGGAAAAATAGTACACTGGGAATGCAAATAGAGGAATGGAGATGGGCCCTGTCCGTGAAGCAAGCAAAAAGATTCTGAGGACAGAAACTGATGGTAACTGGAGAAGAGGGTACCCAAAGCGAAATCTTGAAATTGTTCATTTTGACCTGGAACACTGCTCAACCTTATTTTGAGCCTAATTGTCCAACAGTTTTATTTAGTAATACATTAGTTTTTAAAATAAAATGTCCTGTAGCAACAGAGCCTGAGGCGCATTTTAACTGCTAATACAGTTTTGGAAAATGCAGTTTCAAGACCCAGAATAGGGATGCATGAAAGAATCCAGGGAAGAGGGATAACAGATATGAGGGAGTGCCCCACTGTGTTTCAGAGAAGCACACAAATGTTGCAGTTTTACATCATCTCTAAGGACACACCTTCAGGGTTTACTCCTCATCCCACCATTTAGGATAGGGAAAAATATTGGTTGTGAATTAAAACTGAAAATAATAATTCCACCTATAATTAGTACATCTTTACTTATACTTGTCTATTCAATAAAGGAAGATATTTTTATATATTTGTAACTATTTCAATGAATAGCTTTAACATGATTAAATTAATACACAAGTTTGGGGTTTCTTAAAATAATCTTTAAACCAAATTTTAACCCAACAAATAGAAAGTAGATTCCCCCTCAACTTCTTTTTGAATTTAAGATTAATAATCAGTCCTCCTAGACATTTCTTTTATCCCTAAGCTGCCCCTATAATAAGTAAGCAGGTCAAAATTATAGACAATTACTCCTTTAAAAAATTATGTCCTGGCCCAGCATTTTCTTATTAAACTCAATACAGTTACTGAAGCTTTTGTAAACAACCTGTGTTTCTTATTTATTTAACAAATATTTGCTTATTCATTTAACAAATGTTTACTGAGTACCCACTATGTGCCAAAAACTCTATTAACACTTAATATACAGAAGTCAATAAGGTTGATCAGTCTCTATGTTCTGAAACTTATGTTCTACTAGAGAAAAGCAGCAATAATAACACAATTAATAAATAAAACTGGACATTTTCTCATTTCCCTAAATGTTGTGAAGAAAACAAAAAGGTTAATTCAAAAGATAGAAATGTAGAAGGACGGGGAGAAATTTGGCACTACAGAATATAGGCTGTTTAAAGAAGAAATACTTCTCTCAGAAGCAACATTTGAAAGGTGTCCTGAAGGATGAGATGAAATCTCCAGGTCTGAGAAGCAGCAAGGTAGACAGAGTACAGTAAGCAGAAAGGTTCTGAGGATGAACAGAAGTCAGCACTGAAGGGATAGCAGGAGAAACCGGTGGAGGAATAAGGTGAAGTTGGAAACACAGGCTGAAGCCCTAGACCATAGAGGAACACGGGCGGTGCTAGAGCTGCTCCTGCAGGCTCCTGCTAGCTCAGGACAGCCAACCGGGCACGCCCCTTTTTAACTCCACGTTCAGTGAGGTCACGTTGGTTGCCTGAAATTGAACACGAAGGACATATTTACACTGTGAGATTTACCAAAGCTGCAAATCACTAACCCAACCCCACATCCCAACACACACACACACACACTCCAGGTTTCCCAATGTATCACTAGACAAATAGAAAAAGCAGGCTACCAGTCCCTACCTTGCCAGTAACAGTTTTAAGTATAAATGAACACTGTCCAAAACAAAGGCCTGCACACTTATTTCAGGCTGAATATTTTAGAATTAGGGAAACTGTTTCTTCCACTTCCCTTGCTTGAGGATCATCATGAAGTTTTTGTGTGTTTATATCTGCTCCTCTGAGAGTCTGTGTTGGGCCAATAAGTGTCACTGTGCTCCCCTGGAACAGGGATAGGACCATGGCAATCATACGGCTACGACACAGGTAGAGACAAGATTTTCAGATGCAAGATACGAGTCAACCAGTCACGGCTGAATGTGGGCAGAATAAATCACATCTGCTTTCTCCTCAGAAAGATACACGAGTAGGTCATCCAGAGAAATGAAAAAAGAAAAAGGAGCCACCAACTAGATATCATATTATTGTTCCACTCAAATTTACCATGTCTAGAAAACTTCCAAGAATGCACTATTTCAGTTAGTTTGTTAATATTTATTTCTGAGGGAATGCATACTATATTACAGTGAATATGAACTTTGGAATATCACTAATTTATGTTGCAGTACAAACTATGTTGTTAACTAGTTGAGTGCTTTGGCACTTTGCAAAACATCTTTTTACCTTGGTTTCAGCATCTGAGATAAATTTGTATCTACCTCATAGACTTTATTAAGCACTCAAAGCAATTTCATATGTAACAAATATTAAGAACATTCTGTGGCACAAGGTAGGATAGATAGGCTGGTATAAAAAGTCTTGACTTCACAATTTGGCAGACTTTGATTGGAATGCTGTCCTTGCCAGCAGCTTAAGACTTCAAAATTTCGGTGAATCTCAGTTTTTTCTAATGATAAATGGGGATAATAATATCTTGCAGTATTTTTGTGAAGATTAGAAAGATGTGATTCTATATTTTGTATGATGTGTGCATAGTTGGCAAACAATAAATAATGGACTTGAATTTCATTAGGGCTATCATTCAAAATACATATGGAAATGCATTTTTTGAGCAAAATCAAATATCAGGTATACCAGACCAGTGTTAAACCAAACAAACAAAAAGCTGGCAATAACTTTAGATACTAGGATTTGTTTTGATGCACTTCTTTTACATGTTTGTTTTCTGTACCATTCAAATTTAGGTTTAAAAGCTCTTGGCGAAAATTGAATCTTAAGGAAAGAATGGCGTATTTCCAGATTAAGGTCTTTACTAAAGACAGGGCTCATAAATTCCTCCTCAGTGTAAGCTTTCAATCCCTTCTGCTTCCATGTCAATTTATTTATTTATTTTTTTTTAGGTAAAATAGTTTTTTTTTCCAAAGGAAATTTAAGGAATTTTATTATTTCCTAGAAAAGCTAAAGTGAACCTGTGGAATTTCAAGAGGGCATACTTATAACAATATTAGACAGCTTTATAGGTTGGCCATAAAAATCTGGAAACACAGCAAATATACCTAATAAAAGGTTTGTCCATGTGAATTTATTATGATGATGTTTACAACTGTACATGTCCTGAGACTGGACCGCCTGAAGGAATAGAACTCCTTAAAATCTGGGGAGAAGATTTGATTGACTCCCCTCTTGGCTCTCTCAAAAATTTCTAAAACCTTCCCCTTGGAGACCACTTCCATAGAAAATAAACTCCTTCGAAAAATTTGCCAAAGCTCATTTTAGCAGCATTCAGAAAATGTGTTTGTCCTAATTAATCAAGTCTATTTTTAAAAGGTGATAAGCAGCAGGGCTGTTTTGTATTTACTTATTAAATAAATAATTTGAGTTTTTCTTCTTTGAGACTCTTTGTGTCCTTTCTCTCTGCCAGAAAATTGTCAAGGTTTTTTCCGCAGGGGTTCATTTGTGGCTCTGAAAGTTATAGTTATTGCACATCATGAAATGTGTCTACTCTGAATTTATCATTAACACGTTATATGGCCATGTAATTTATGTATTTCCTACTCTGAACTGAAGAGAGTTCTCAGCTTAGTGTTTGCATCACTGTTTTCCTTTGTTGATGTCTTTAGGCTGAGCTATCTAAAACCTTCTCCCAGCTGCATCCAGGACCTTTAAATGTTTTGCTCTCTACTGGGACCAGCTAAAAGAATTGCTTTATTGCATGAGAAACATTGATGATGCAACAAGCTCCTTTCTTTAGATAGACCCTGGCTGGTGCTCTACCTGCTTTAATATCACCTTTGCACAGCCCACAGACTGATGAGCCACTAGCTGCACACTGATCTAATAAAGACCCTAATATAGCTGCTATGAAAGGTCACCGCTCTTTTCCACACAGGCAAGAAATCCGATTGCACTGTGTAAACAGCTATGCCACTAGATGCGCGGCAAGATTTTGTAATCCTTGCTCCTTCAAGAATAAATGTTTCTATGTGAGCTTTACATGAGAACAAGAGACCTGAGCCAAAGTAACTAAAGTGGATTTCCCTGCATTTCTGATACGTCTTTGCAGGCTTCCTGCCCTCAGGATAGCCATATAATGTATCCTTTCACTGGATGTTTACCTCCTAGCCAGTTCCGAACCATAGTCTGCGCCCATGAGGTCTTCACATTCCTCTTCCCTATCAACACTGCTTTAAACTGTGTCCACAGATGATCCGTTAATCTACTTTCAACTGGGTTGTTATGAGTTGACAAAAGTTTAGTATGTCACCCTTACCAGAGGCTCTTTGGTGTTTTCAAAAGGGAGCTTTAATATCAAAAAGGAATGAAATCAGATGGCTTTTTCCTCAATTGCTGCACTATAATGACCTAACATCAATTACATTAACACAACCACTGATTTATTTTCTTTATTCCACACTAGGCTGGTGAGTTCCTGGTGTAGGTATGATGTTCTATTTGACTTTGTATCTTTAGTACTCAGAGCAGTGCCTGACACACACCAAATGCTTAAGAATGTTTGCCAAATGAATGGATGAATGGTTAAGCGATGTTCAGGAATTGTAGGCCAACAGGATGAAATTATGTATTTGGGAAATAAAACTTTGTCAGAACAATTTGCATTTTTTTAATTTGCAGCCATCTAAGTGAGGCTAGCTCAGGCCTCTAACATCTGAAACAAACAAAACATATACTCCTGGACATTGTTGGAACAGAGTCCGGAGACAGGTAACATACATGTGTGTTCTGCAGGCAAACTGGAAACATGCAAATATAATTCCCTTAAATGAGAAAGAAAAGGAAATCAGCAAACCGGAACAAACCCTTTCTTCTCTCAAAGTCACAAGGAGAGAAGTGTTGTACAGAGAAGATGAGCATGTCATTTTGCTTTAAATCTGTGCCAAAATGACATAGTAAGAATAATAGCACTCTAGGAATTTTGTCATTAATATACACTATCTGTAAAAAATGAATCCATGCATTTATTTAGAAATTTGTTCATTAATTTTTCCCCTTTAAAAGTAATGTATGCTTGTTTTTGAATCAGTGGATTTCTAAATGAAGTACAGATGTTAAAAGAATAAAAAATCTTAAATAGCTACATTGTCTTTCACATGGTAGCTATAAACATATTATAATTTATAATTAAGATTTATTTGTCCTCTAAGAATGGCTTTTAAATGTCATTTGAAAAAAAAATCAAGAGTGCTATGTGGAGAATAAAACAATGCCATCTATTTCACAATTTCAGATACTATTTTTCTTACTCTATGGCCTTTAATACCATGCCAGTATATGGGGAACAAGGGTATGTGTGAATGTGTATTATTACTGCTCTAGGATACTGTAGCTTCTGTGTTTTGTTCATATTTTATCTAAAGGCAAATCACAACAAAGTGCAAATAAAAAAATGTTACCTTCATTCTATAAATATTCATCAAGATATGTTTTGGACAAGTGTTAAAATTGGGAAATGATAAGAATTCATAGACTACAGTACTGGAAAAGTTAAATTTCCCTCTCACTTTAGATAAAAGAGGGAGCAAGAAAAGAGAATTTTTTTCTAGCACTATAGGCTATGCTGAACTAATAGCAAGAAGTAGTGAACTGATAGCAAGAAGTAGAATAAAATTGAAAACACAGAAATAAAACGTTCATTAAACTGGTATCCATTTTTGGAGAGCTACTATGTAGCATATATCAACCACGTGAAAGCGACTACTGTACGGTTTCTGGGAATATGTGGTGGGAGTCATTTATTCACTGAGTCAGGACTTGTTTTTGGATTTGTAAAAGATCTTTGCAATGGATAATAACACAGTGTCAGCCCTGTATGAGAAGACTAAATGAATGATGAAGTCTAAATTGTGCTGAATGATTGCAAATGGATCAAATGGCATTCAAAATAATACCTCAATTTTTTATCAGGACTGTGACTGTACTTCCAACCTTTCAGATATGCATTCTTTATGGTACAAAATTATGCTACATAAAATTAGTAAAATCTGTTGTCATAGAAAAGAAAAAAATTATAGAAAAGTAAAAGTAGTGAAATGAACTGCTGTAAAAAGAGAACCACAGAGAAAACAGCAGCTCAATAATGTGTAGTCAAAAAATATGCTAGTAAATGGAACCAAAACTCTCCCCACCTCATATTCTATTATTTATTTATACTTTAAAAGCCTCAATGGATCAGAGCTAAGTTTTATCATTTCATTTTCTAAAGACAACACACTTGTTTTTATTCTTCTCTCAATGATTCTACCTAAAAATAACTGGCTTATTAAAACATACATAGAATAAATATCCTGAGAAACTTCACTGGGAAAAATAAGACTATAGGGAAATTTAATTTAATTATAGATCAAAATTATTGTGAAATTTGTATCCATGTAAATCCTATGAAATGGAAGTATTTACTCCATATTATTTTGATATCTCTATGGAATTAAAAGCCAAAAAGTCTTTTGCCAATGCATTAAATGCTATTGGAACTTGGTGAAAAGCTTTCACACTTCAGCAACATTGATTTAACCTTGAAAATTGTACTGAAAAAGTAAGAGCTGTTGAATGTATGATATACAAGGAAGTTAGCAAAGAAATCTAAGGAACACCGGGAAAACAAAAGGATATTTTGTGTCTCTCTCCCAACTCTAACATTAGCCCTAACTCTGAGACAATGAGGTTTCTGAAGCCTACCATGTATATAATGGCTTCAGGAGTAGCTTTCACTACAACTTAATTAAGCTTGAGTGAGGCTATGAGATCAATGTTCCCTTGGTAGTGGCATGAGCAATAGGTAATTCCTATCATGGTCAGTTTCACTGCTGTATCTTCAAACACACTCTAAGAGTATTTTGAGGTTAGAATGACATTTACTTTGCAAGTTCACTTTTTCTTTTCTTTTTTTTTTTTTTCTTTTTACAGCTACTCTCATCTTGTAAAGAAAGCGAAGGCTAACATTGAATTTCCAAGGTTTTGGAATGACCTGTGTCAGAACTCTTCTGGCATGAAATATTATGCATTATTCGTAATGCCCAAAACCTTCAAAATTCAACAAGCATGATTTAATTTCAGGTCAGTAGATAAAATTAGTATGACATTTTTGGCATTGCTATTAATTTCAATAATAAAAGAAACACAATTAATTATATGAATATTGTCAGAAAAATCCATTTAAGTAATATATTTAAGAAATCCAAGCATATATGCTTAAACTGTCATTTGTGAAAAGCAAGTAAAAAGCTTTGTGTGTTTATGATCTAGTAATACTTAATTCTACAAACTTTTTTCTTTTTTATGTATTTAATAATCTGACTAGAAACTTATTTTGTCAGAGTTAGAGTGGATGAACTGACATTTCAGAATCCAATCTCTTATGCTCTATCTTAAGGTTCAAAACCTTTGATCAATTATACAATAGCAGCCTCGAAGATCAAAGAATCCTTAATTGCTAGTGAGCAAATATGGGGAAGCTGAATAATGCTGGACCGAGGCATTCATAACACGAAGTTACAGGAGAAAGAGAATAATGATGGAATAATGGTGGAATATATTTATTTTTCCTTTTTTGTGTGTGTACAAAATAATGATGGTGTGAACTGATATAATTCTACCGAAGGTTATCAGGTTCAAATTTTAAATCAAACATAATTCTAATTCTCCTTGTCTTTAAAATTATTTTAGAGCAAAAAATCAATACGCCATAATGTCAGGAAATTTTTTAAATTAAAATGATATCCACTAAATTCCCTCTTGGAGAAGTTCTGCATTAGTCTAAAAATGCACCCACTATAGGCCACCAGATGGCCCATGCTCAGAGATATCAAATTAATAAGTAAAATGTATTTAAGAAGAAATATTTCCATAACTCAATAAATCAAAGTTTAAAAGAAACAGAGTAGTTAGGCTGTGAAATACATTAGTCACGCATGGACTATATTTTGTGAGTATTTTCAAATATGTTAATTGCAGGGGTATGGGAAAATAAACTCGTTTTTCAAAGATAAACTATGTAGGTAAAGTTGTTTTGTGTATCATGAAGAATAGGCTTTAAGTGTGCTTTGCAGCCAATTTTCTTAATTAATATAGACAACTTAAACAGATTACAGGTATTTCTTGCTTATTAAAAATTCCCTTCATAAGCTGCTAAATTTAGAAGAATAAATTCACTCTAGGAAGCATTTGTTGAATTTAGAAAATTTGAGAATAGCATGCTGACATCTGGTACATACAGCTCATGTGTCTAATCCTCTTTCTATAAATTATTACTTGTATTTGTTTCTTGAGAACAGTTTTAACAAGTCTGTGATTAATATTGGTCAGCTAGTTCCATTGACCTCTTCTGCCTTTTACTCCATTAAATCAAATTTCTTATTGCCTAAATGTCTCCAGAATGTGTCCAGGTATATGCGTTGCATGTTAGAGTCTATTTATTGCATTCAAAAGTGGCCTGGTGTTTCCAATGCTGTCAAGTAGTGCCAGAAAATATTTTTGAGAGTTTACCCTGTAGTGGGAATCTTTATGTGGATTTTGATTGCATTGTCTGCACTGCAGAGGAATTTCTACAGCCTTTGGTGAACTTTACAAGGTTTTTATGCAGTGAAGAAAATATGTATAAGTAGAAGTCCAGCAATGTAAGTGAGAAGAAAGAACTTGGGAAATTTTCTAATACTGCAGAATTATTGTGTCCATCTTTTAATAAGTAGAAAGTAGTACAAATAAATTAATTGTTCATTAATCCATATAGACTATTCTGTTCCACAGTGGGGGATGTCACCTTACACAAGAAAGATTCAGGAACTGCATTTTCATTTCACTTACGTGGTATAGTGGCTTATGTGGTTGAACTTGGTTTGCAGGAAGTTTGCTAAATTCATTTTCTCCTGAGCTCTTGCTGCACACAAACTAGATTATATTCACTCAAAGAGGATAGAACATGTGGAAGAGAAAGTCTGTCCATCAACAAACCATGGAGATTACATATAGTATTTCTCATACATACTTAAAATATAAGGTTGGCATTACTATATTTTTCAGCAATTAAATGGTCCTAGGTCCCAGAAATATGTTTTTCAGTGATGATCCGCCTAGTACACCTTACAACTTGGTCTCTGGAGAGTATATTAGCTGACCTTCCCAGCCAAAGGAGAAGTTATTCTGCCTTTCTAAAACTGTTATTAAGATTTTACGCATCTCTCTTTAAACACTTTCTGTATTTTTGGAGTGGGTGCAGAGTTTCTAGCAAAACTGCTTAAAACCGGTATTCACAATTTTTATCCCACCTATTTTTATAAAGATAGAAAACAATTTCCTATACATTAATCTATGGATCTATTTCTTTCTATCTATACATTTATCTATGATCTATTCCTACTAATATATAAAACTATATATATACACACAATTATAAACTACATATATAACTATGCATGTAACTATAAAACTACATAATATCATATCAATAATGAAATCGGACTTGAGTTGAGATCTGATTCAGTGGTAGTTCATTAAGCATAGAAGAAAAAATATTCCAGACAGAACTAGAATAATGTGTAAATTTCCATGGCAGGAGCAAAGCAATTTTGAGACACTGAGTATAGGTCGTGTGGCTTCAGCACACAATCCAAGGATGTGTACGGTCCAACAGCACACTTCGGATTTAAGGGCAGATAGTTACGTGACATTTTTGCTGTGTGAAGTATTCTGGTGTTTATTCTGTGAGCAACAGCAAAGCTTTAAGATGTTACAAAAGATTCCATCACAGTAAGATTTACTTTTCAAAATATCTACTCACCCTATTAAAGGCAGAGAAAAAAAATTAGGGTGGTGGTTCATGAATATTAAGATAACTGAAGCTTAGACTTGAGAAGTAAAAATAGATATAGAAAGATGTAGACAGTGTTAGGATATATATAGGAAAAATATGGCTAGAACTTGTTAATGGATTGGATACGAAAGGATAAGGGTAGAGAGGCATCACAATGACACTGGATTTCCGGCTTACATAGATTTCATAGGTTGGGTTTTTGGATGGGACTAATTACAATTTAGAAACAAAAAAGGCTTATTTGATGAGAAGTTTAAGGATCAGGAGTTCCATTTGAGTTTTGTAAGTGTCAAGCAGGCAAGTGCAACATGGTGAAGAGTTTTTTCCAGGAGACGTGAATATGGAGCCATTCATATTTGGGGATAACTACAGTTATGAGAATGTGTGTAGAGATACAGAATCATACAAGGAAAGGGGACCTGATTCAGAGGCGCCTGCAACTCTAAAATTCAGTGGCTGGTTAGCGGATGAGAAGCCTACAAAAATGTCTAAGTAGGAGGAAAATCAGGACATTGTGGTGTTATAAGAAGCAAAGAATGAAATGATTTTTAAAATCAGAGAGTGAATTAACACAACGCTATGGCAGAGTGAAAAAAAGATAAGTCTGAAAAAATTTCTTCTGAATTTAGAAAGACTAATACTATGAATGACCTTGATAGAGTTCTGTTAATAGAATAAAAAGTACTGGAGCCATGTTTGAGGGCATCTGATTGAGGTGAGGACGTGAAGCCATGCTCTGAAGGGAAGGGAATGTACAGGGTGAAATTATCCTACCTATGTACCCAGTTGCACATTCCAACACAAGACTACTTTTAGAAACAACAAAAATCGGCTGGGCGCGGTGGCTCACACCTGTAATCCCAGCACTTTGGGAGGCCGAGGCGGGCGGATCACGAGGTGAAGAGATTGAGACCATCCTGGCCAAGATGGTGAAACTCCGTCTCTACTAAAATACAAAAAAATTAGCCGGGCATGGTGGCAGATGCCTGTAATCCCAGCTACGCAGGAGGCAGGAGTATCGCTTGAACCTGGGAGGCGGAGGTTGCAGTGAGCCGAGATCGTGCCACTGCACTCCAGCCTGGTGACAGAGCTAGATTCTGTCTGAAATAAATAAATAAATAAATAAATAAATAAATAAATAACAAAAATCTTCTTTAGGGTTATTTTTCATTATCTATTTTATTTTTATCCCACATCTTACTGCCAAATCACTTTCAATAATATTCTACCTCTTTCTCAAATTCCTTTGTCAAGTTACTACAACACAGCTTCAACTCTCTCACTGTCCTCACAAATGTTCCCCGCTTTCTATTATAATCTGTAGTGTATAATGTCGTTCCCAAAGGCCACTTTGATTTCTTCTCCTATTTGATTTCTCAAAAGTTGTTTGAAACTATTAAACTCACGAATTTCTCAATATTTTTACCCTCTATTATTTTCCCGACCCCACTCTAGTAGATCTCCTTTCCAGATTTTTTCTTTCATATTCTAGCCATTCTTTTGATATGGTTCCAATTGTATTAGTCTGATAGGACTACTAAAATTCTACATGAATGACTGGGCAAAGAATAACCCCATGCATGAGCAAAGGAAAGAGCAGAAAGCTAATCAATTGGAGTACACACAGGTTTTTGAGACCTGAAGCTTACAAAACTCAGAGGTCTTTAAGTAAAACAACTCAAGCTATATATGAAAAAAGTAACTGTGAAGAGGAATAAAGTTTCTAATGAAGTTCTAATTTTTTAGAATGAGGAAAGAAATCAAAACAAATAAAAAAATTTCACAAAACTGTCAAACTGCACAAACACCACATCTAGAGTAATGCAATTCTGCGACACCTTTTTCCTATTATTTTTCGCTGCATATTTTTCTACCAGCTCTTTCATATGACAATATCATAAAATATTTTTGATAGGGAAAAACAAAAATAATGTAGTTTCTCTTTAGTATTGTTCATAAAAATTTATTTTTGGTTTTCGTTAGTTTACTTAAATCTTCAGAACATGTTTTAGATTTTTTTTATTTTTGTCAAATTAGAGAAAATAAATTTTCATATATATATATACATTAAGATTTCAGGATATTTCAAGTTTTTTTGTGCAGAGTCAAAACTTTACTACTGTTTGAATTTGCAATCTTCATTGATCAGTTTGTCAAAAAAGGAGTGTAATACGCTGAGTTTATGTTGCTTTGTATGGTAGGAATCATCCTCCATTTTTGTTAGGACTTAATGAGAATGAATTCTCTGCCGACAACCCTATACATCTGATGATTGGAACAATTTTCCATAAACTAGCTTTGAGCTCAACAGGTTTCAAATCTTGTTTCTCATTTACCCTAGATACTCTTGTTTCTATCAGTCACAGTTTGGACACTTAGTTTCCTAGATTACATGATGAAATTTGTTTCTTACTTTACTAAAGTTGTTCACCAATACATTGTGGTGATTTGTCACAATATTTACATTCCTTGTGTGAAAGAATATCTGGGATAGCCATTTACATCTTTATAATTTGCAACTTTAGTTATTCAATGTGTCTCAATTCGAGAGTTGACTTTTTTCTTGAGAGCTGAGTTCTAAAATAAGTGACAGAATTTAAATTTCCCTTTGTGGAAATACTAATGACTTTAAATGTAACATTCTCTATGAACACATGTACTAACCTAGGTTAGAAATACCATAGTATATTAGATAATTGATATTCTTCATTCATTCACTCATTGAACTAACAACTATTCATTGAGGAACTTGTGTTAGTCTCTACTCCATTGCTGGGAATAAAGTAAGAGCACATGCAAATGTACACACACACACACACACACACACACACAACGCTTCTAAGGTGTTGAAGAATTTGGGGGAGATGGCATTAAGAAAACAATGATCTAGGTAAATATTAAATTCAGTTTTTAATAAATGCCATGAAAGAAAGTATAAGTTTTGCCTGTTAACACAAGAGGTTAAGAAAAATATCTTTTCACACAAAAAATTGATTAAAATGTAATTCACATGCAACATAATTCATTTTTTGATTTTTTAAAAATTGAAATATACTTTATGAACTGTAAATTTCACCTTTTTAAAATGTACAGTTTAGTGGTTTTTAGCATGTTTACAACCATCATTTCCATCTAATTCTAGAACATTTTATTATCCCAAAAAGAATCCCCTACTCATTAGCAGTCATTTCCTGTATGCCTCTGCCCTCAAGCCTCTGACAACCACTAACATACTTCCTGTCTCTATGGATCTGCCTATACTGGATATTTTATAGAAATGGAATTATACAATATGTGACTTTTTGTGTCTGCTTTCTTTCACTTAGCCTCATAGTTTTAAGGTCCATCCATGTATCAATATCAAGATTTGTGTCCCTTTTTATGACGAATTAATATATTATTGTATGGATAAACCGCTTTTTAAAATTAACTTTTTGTGGTAAAATACAACATAACATGTATCCTTTTAACAAGTTTCTGAGAGTACAATACAGCACAGTCGAGTCGATGTATAATGTTGTACAGGAGATCTCTAGAACTTCATCTTGCTTAACTGAAACGTTGTGGCCATTGATTAGTAACTCCCCATTTCCAACCCTGCCCTCATCTCTTGGCAACCACCAACCACCATTCAATTTTTTGATTCTATGAAGTTGACTATTTTAAATATCATCTATAAGTAGAATTAGGCCATATTTTCTTTTGTGAATGGCTATTTCAGTTAGCATACATGAACTAAAAAGCTTCCGCACAGCAAAGGAAACAAGCAACAGAGTAAAAAGGCAACCTAGAGAATGGAAGAAAATATTTGCAAGCAATATATCTGACAAAGATTTCATCTACTATATATATATATATACACACACATTGAAGCACTGCTACAACTCAGCAAAAATACTAATAACTCAACTAAAAAATTGGGTTAAGAACTTGAACAGTTATTTCTCCAAAGATTACGTAAAATAACCAACAAGTATATGAAAACTTGTTCAATAACACCAATTATCTGGGAAATTTAAATCAAAACCAGAATGAGAAAAAAAATAGATGTTGCCAAGAATGTGTAGAAATCAGAGCTCTTGTATACTATTGATGGGAATGCAAAATGTTGCAATCACATGGAAAACTGTATGAAGCTTCCTCAAAAAATTAAATATAGATGTACTATATGATCCAGCAATTCCACTTCTGGGTATTTATCCAAAAGATTTAAAATCAAAATTTCAAGAAGACATTACCACTCCGGTATTCACTGCAGCAATATTCACAGCTGCCAAAATTTGGTAACACCCTAAATACCCATCAGTAAATGAATGGATATAAATGAAATATATCCATACAATGAAATACTATTCAGCCTTTTAAAAGAAGGATATACTTCAATGTGCGACAACATAGAAGAACCTTGAGGACTTTATCATGTTACGAAATGTCCATTTACTACCACCCATACGGTGAATATAATATGTAGTGAAAGAGAATACACACACACACACACACACAAACACACACACACACACACACGTGTATGGAGAGAAAGAGTAGAAATTATTTTTGCTCATCTAACTTTGAGCATTTTTTCCAGAATTTATTGTATTCAGGAATAAGATAGGAGTAAAATTGAATGGCAGACCTCAGAATTTTGCTACCTGAAGATTTTTTTTTTTTTTTTTGAGACAAAGTCTTACTCTCTTGCCCAAGCTGGAGCGCAGTGGTGCGATCTCTGCTCACGCAATCTCCACCTCCCGGGTTCAAGTGATTCGCCTGTCTCAGCCTCCCGAGTAGCTGGGACTACAGGCACGAGTCACCATACCCGGCTAACTTTTGTATTTTTAGTAGAGACAGGGTTTCCTATGTTGGCCAGGCTGGTCTTGAACTCCTGACCTCGTGATCCTCCTGCTTCGGCCTCCCAAAGTGCTGGGATTACAGGCATGAGTCACCTGGCCCGGCCTTAACATTTTTATCTCAAGCACCTTTAAAAAGGAGTTTTCACTTCTCAAATCCTACCAACAATGTGCTGAGGACAAATAAAATAAGGCTTATCTAAGCTGAAAGAGTTTTCACTAATTTAAAATATGATAAATGAAGACTAGACAAGTTAAAGATTGAATGAGAAAGAGAAAAGAAGAAAAAGAGATGAAAAGGAGAAAAAGGAGAAGGAACCTGTGTGGACTGCAGATCAAAAATTCTCTCCTGACCTTATGGCTGGATTGGCATACCATACCACGTTTCTTGGGATAAAACCACCTTCCAGGCAATTCTGAGCCAGCTCCCTAGGTCTGAGTACATATACTGTGCCCTCTGCTGATTCAGGACGCCAGATTCCCTGTGCTATACCACTTGGTCATATTCCTACCCATACTCTATGCTGTTTTATTGCCACTGGCTCGACTCTAGCTCTCTTTCTCACTGACTGTTATCCTCTGGCCTGTGTTCTGTTTTCTCAGAGTCTTCTATCCCTTTCATGATGAAAATTAGATCATATTCATATTCTGTAACTCCCAAAAAAGAGAACGGAAGTACCATTTCCCTTTTTTCCCCAGATAAGATGAGAACATGGTTAAATAATGGGATATCTTTTAAAAAAATAATAAAATCTGAACTTATTCATTTATTTATTGGTAGTGCCTTATTGTTACATCAGTAACTGCAACAACATGATTTTATAGGTAATGAAATTTGATGCCAACCTTTTAGCTTGATGCCTCTGGCCATATTTGTATACCATACAATTTTATTCACGAACAAAGTGATTCCTTTTTAAATTTTATTTTATTAGTTCTGAGAAAGGCTTATAAATCTTAAAAAAATTCCTTTCATTAGGATGACCCATATTTAAAATAAAAACAGCTTTTGTTAAGTTTTAAGGTCATAATCTATTTATTCTATCTATCTCTATTAAGATAAGCATTGTCTACTTTTTCCTTGATTAATTTTTTCTTTAATTTTTGATAAGACACTTTACATGAGATCTATCCTCTTAAGAGATCTAAAGTGCACAAATCTGTATTTTAACCTATGGACATAAGACTTTACATGAGATCTCTGGGACTAATTCACTTTGAACAATTACAATTTTATAGATATTGAGTAGTAACTCACTGTTTTCCTCTCCTCCCAGCTCCTAGTAATCACCATTGCATTCTTTGAATCTAGATGTCCGACAATTTTAGATACCTCATATGAGTAGAATTATGCAGTATTTGTCCTTCTGTGACTGGCTTATTTCACTCATAATAAGATCCTTTTCAAAATATCTCGCTGTAGGAAACCATCTACTTTACCTGTACACGAACAGGGAAAACTTTAAACATTTAAACTTTCCTGAAGTAGGGAAGGTATGCCTGTCTACTTTAACCCAGAACAGTCCTGTGACCACAGCAGATTTTATTTTTACACCCGCAAAATGATTTAAGTACCAAATCTGAATCCTACATGGCTCCTAAACTTCAAATGATGGAAACCAGTTGCTTAGGAATGCCAGCCAGAATGTGATATTCAAGGACCTTCTCTGGCTGTTGCAATTTACAGCCATTTTCACTACCATTAAAGTTGTATGCAAATCTTAGCTCTACAAACGTTGACATCAGTTAGAAAAGCAGACAGCAGAAAAGTGACAAAGAAAGGTTTAGGGCTAATTTTGAAATAGTTCCGTGACATTGGCTCATGAATAAAATGTAAATCAAATTATATGGTGAGCACATACAGATTTAAAAGCAAGAAACCAGAGAGTTCAGGAAGAAAAATACCTTGTAAGACTCCAGAAAACAAAATGTAATGCAATTTGCATCACTGGAAAAAGACAGTGGGATAACTCATGTTGCCTCCATCAGAGAAACCTGGTGAGCTATTTAAACTGCACATGACTGCACCCCATTACAGAACTTCAAAAACAAAATCTCTGGGGGCTGGCCTTAAGATAACTTTTTTAGGGAGGCCTAGACGGGCGGATCACGAGGTCAGGAGATCGAGACCATCCTGGCTAACATGGTGAAACCCCGTCTCTACTAAAAATACAAAAAAAAAATTAGCTGGGCGTGGTGGCGGGCGCCTGTAGTCCCAGCTACTCGGGAGGCTGAGGCAGGAGAATGGCATGAGCCCAGGAGGCAGAGCTTGCAGTGAGCCGAGGTCGCGCCACTGCACTCCAGGCTGGGGACAGAGTGAGACTCAGTCTCCAAAAAGAAAAAAAAAAAAAAAAAAAAAAAAAGATAACTTTTTCAAAAAATTATCCAGGTAAAATTTATGTAACTTAAACTTTGGAGAGCCTTTTGAAAGTCCATGATATTCTTTTGTTTCTAACTATTTTCAGGAAACTTCTAGAGAAAAGGTCTGTGAAATTGTGCAATTTGGGGAACATGAGTCAAAGCATTGTATGATTTTGAGGATATTTGTTTAAAATACTGACTGTGGCCTGAAAACTAGAATGTCATGCACATGTAAACAAAACAATGATAAGAGTTGGCTTACAATAAATCATAGTAGGAAAGAATGAATTCAATAAATTTTAAAATAAGACGGGGAAATATTCAGTATCTTGAGTTAGTGATACTGAACAAAATAGTTTATCTCTCAGACTATTAAAGCTGCAGTGGGAGAATATAGAAAAAATACACAGTAAATTTTGGAAGCTCCAACAATGTTCTTTCTGTAAAATAAGGATAACAGGATGTTATTGAAGACATTTAAATAGATGCCAGAATTGTTTATCATGAAAAAATATGGGTAGCCCATGTACCACAATGTCATTACAGTATGCCAATACCCCTGGGATGTTAGCCAAAATGGAGGTAATTTTCTGAAAACAGCTCTGTCCTGAACTTAATCCAAAAGGCATCTATTCATAACAAAGTGCTCCCTTCATGAAGGGAAAAGGCTATGCCAGATAGAGGAGTTTTGTTGATACATTTTCATTATAAAAATAAACAGCACATATCATGAAAGAAATTCATTCATTTGAAACAAATTGTAAATATAGCCACACAAAATTATTTAGAATATCTGTAATTATAGAAATCATGTTTTTTTTGTTTTAATAAAGGGAATTTTTTAAATAACAGAGAAATAAAATAGTAAAACAAGGAAGAGCCTGAGACACCGACTTCTCCTGAATTTATGGGTGAGCTTAGTTAAAATTCAATCCAGCTTCTCTGCTTTCATAATCCTATGGCAATGTTATAACCTGAATACTGGGCCCAACAAGAAAACGAGATTGATTATTCACATCCAGTTTAAATCTTTCTAGTCCTGAGAGAAATCACTGTGAAGAACAAAAATCACAGAGAGTGGGAAGGAAATAACCAGGTCATGAATTTTTACTTTGGTGAATTTCATTTGGCAGCAACATTGAACATGAGTTAATATTAGTGCTCTGTTTCAAAGAATTGAAGACTTAATCTGTACTACTAGAACATTAAAGCATTTAAACATTCACTGATGATATTGTATTATTAATCCATTCATCCAAGATATTAATGAATGCCTTCTAAGGTCCATAGACTATACTAGGTAATAAAGATAGAGTGGAACATGTAGTCTAGGGAAAGAGTCAATTATAGAACAGTATCACAAGATATATCCTTATGTATATATGTAATATTGCATGTGTGTAGGTTTGTATGTGTGCTTTTATATACAACTATGTGTTTTTACATGTAATTCATTATAAATATATGTATGCATATATATTTCATATATATGCATTTTTCCTCCTCCATCTCATACAAAACCTATTTCTAAAAGGTGGAGATTAAGAAATATAGAATACAATAAAAATGAATCTGAGCACAGGTTGTTAAGTGAAGGTATTTCACACAATGAGCAAAACATACACAAAGGAGTAAATGTTGAGAGGTTGTCACATGTTCAGGAAACTGCAAGCAATTTGTTATCATGGTAAAAATTAAGGCTTAGGAGATGAAGTTGGGACGTTGGGAAGATCTCATTAAACCTATGAAATTTGATGTTTATCTCAGATATTTGTATACATTATGTCTTAGAAAAGTATAATAATCGATATTTAGGATGGGTTTCCAGGTGATTCTAATGAGCAGCTAGATTTCAAAAACACTTGAGAGTAAGAAAAACTCAGGCTTAGTCATGATTGAGAGAGAGCTGGATCTATAATTTTCTAAATGTGACTCTGGATCGGTTGGTTGTTCCCCCTGAATCTCATTTTCTTCATTCTGAACATCGAGATCTTCATACTATTTGCCTGGCAGAGTTGATTTAAGAAACTGCTACCATGTTTGAAAAGTAACTGATACTGTGCCTGATGGCAGATGGCACTTAGTAAATGACAATGTTATTATTATAAGTACTACTCTTACTATTCATTATAATTAAGAGCTGTCCTCCTAGCAGGAGAGAAAAGAACAAGTAGCCTTCAGGATAGTAAGTATAAGAGAAGGAAACCCAAAGCTAGAGGAGAAAGTGAAGGAGCCTCTTATTCTTTTATTGGGTAAAGACTTTCTGGAAAAAGTAACACCTAAATTTAATGGAAAGCCAGTTAATTCAATTCCGTGGAAGTTGCTCTACCCTCAGGACATTGCTATACACATAACTATCTGCTGGTTGCTATCAAGCAGTCAGAGCTGCATAATTCCATGACTTTAGTCGGATCAAAAAAGAACCTGGCCAGGAATTTAAAAGTAAATCTTGAGGATCTACAAGGCCATAGAGAACTCTGAAAAGCTCTAACAGAGTTCTGGTGATATAAATGGCTGCAAACATTTGTGAAGCCATTCCTTGGAAAGACCTGAAAAAGGAAAAGGCACCTATCACTCACCTCTGGGGGACACTGAGATCCTGTACAAGCAGAATGTAAAAACGAAGGCTGTCTTGTAAACTGTCTGAAGTTTAAAGTCATGACTTCTTTCATAATCCCCATGGCAAAGTGTGGAAGACATACAGGCAAAACAATTAAGAAAATCTGACTAATCAGTGGCTGACTACCATATTATAATGATCCAGAAGTTATGCATAGGAAGTCAGGATTCAAAATGAAACCTAAAAAACAAACAAACAAACAAACAAAACAAAACAAAACAAAAAAAACTAGCAGAAAGTGAAGTGACCACATGCTGCAGAGAATACAGAATTTACAGGAATAATCCAGAAAAGTCACTAAAATAATAAGTAACAACAACAACGACAACAAAAAACACAGTAATCACAACCACACACCTTGGGATAGAGGGAGAATGTGCTACCAGAGTTGTTAGAATACATTATGTCAAATCTTTAGTTTTCAACAACAACAAAATTATAAGAAACACAAAGAAAAATGAAAGTATGCCACAGGAAAAAAAAAGTAACTATATGCTTTCTACAAGAGACACGTTTAGTTGAAGACTCATATAAGTTGAAACTAGAAGGATGGAAATGTGAACAATAACCAAAGAAGAGTAAGAGTAGCTGTACTAATATCAGACAAAATAGACTCCAAGCAAAATTATTATTAGAGTCAAAAAAACATTTTATATTAATAAAAGAATTAATTCATTAGGAAGATAAAATAGTTACAATCATCTTTTCAAGGGATCATGAGACATTTCCCAGAACAGACGTAGAGAAGGTTCTAACACAGGCCTCAATCAATGTAACATGATTGTCACAATACAAAGCATATACTCTGCCCACAGGTGAGTGAAAGTAGAAAGCAACAAAAAGGAATTTCAGAAATACACAAATACGTGGACACCAAACAATACACACCTAAATAGCCAATGAGGAAAGAAGAAATCAGAAGAGAAATAGAAAATGCTTTGAGACACATGTAAACAAAAGGAAAATATACCAAACTTATGAAATGTAGCTCAGGCAGTGATTAGAGGGAAATTTATAGCTTTTCATTAAAAAAGAAGAAAGATCTCAAGTTGGTAACCTAAGCTTCCATCTAAAGGAGTTAGAAGAAGAAGAGCAAATTAACTTAAAGCAGACAGAAGAAAAGAAATAATGAGGTATTAGGAAGTAAATTTAAAAAATAGAGAAAATCAACAAAAACAAAAGTTGTTTCTTTAAAAGGATTAGAAAAATTGCAAAAACCTTTAGGCTGACCAAGAAAAAAAGAGAGAGGTCTATATTACTAAAATCAGGATGGAAAGAGGAGGCATCATTTATTTTTATTTTTATTTTAATTTTTGAGACAGGGTCTTGCTCTGTCAGGCAGGCTGGCACGATCTCAGCTCACTGCAACCTCTACCTCCCAGGCTCAATAGATCTCCTACCTCAGCCTCCTGAGTAGCTGTGACTACAAGTGATAGCCACCACTCATGACTAATTTTTTGTATTTCTGATAGAGAGGGGGCTTCACAATGTTGGCCAGGCTGGTCTTGAACTCCTGAGCTCAAACAATTCACCCACCTTGCCTCCCAGAGAGCTCAGATTATAGGTGTGAACCACCATGCCCAGCTAAGGCAACATCATTATTGACTTTACAGAAATAAAAAGCATCATAAGAGAATACTATGAATAATTGTATGCAAATATATCAGATCAGTTAGAAAAACACAAACCCTGAAACTGACAAAAAATAGAAAATCTGAATAAACATTTAAAAATTAAAAATTAATAATTAATAATCAAAAATATCTACCATAAAGAAAAGCTGAGGCCCAGATGGCTTCACTGATACATTCTATCAAATAAAGCATTAATATAATTATTTCCAAACACTACCAAAAATTAGAAGAGAGTAAGCACTTCCCAACTCATACTATGAGGCCATCATTACCTTGATTCTGAAACCAGACAAGCACATCACAGGAAATACACAAATGAGTATCCCTTAGAGTGTATAAACAAAATCTTCTAAAGTATTATCCAACAATCTGCAGCAACATTTAAAAAGAATTATACACATGACCAAATGGGATTTAGCCAAGAAATAAAAGATTGGTTTATCATATAAAAATCAGACACTATAGGCCGGGTGCGGTGGTTCACACCTGTAATCCCAGCACTTTGGGAGGCCGAGGTGGGCAGATCACGAGGTCAGGAGATTGAAACCATCCTGGCTAACATTGTGAAACCCCGTCTCCACTAAAAATACAAAAAATTAGCCGGGTGTGGTGGCAGGTGCCTGTAGTCCCAGCTACTCGGGAGGCTGAAGCAGGAGAATGGCGTGAACCCGGGAGATGGAGCTTGCAGTGAGCTGAGATCGCGCCAATGCACTCCAGCCTGGGTGACAGAGCGAGACTGCGTCTCAAAAACAAAAACAAAAACAAACAAACCCTATAATACATCTTATACTAGTAGAAAGAACGACAAAATCCACATTATCAACTCAAAAAATTGTCATAATTTATTGAATGTTAATAATGTCAGGCACTGCTAGACACTTTCAAAAACCCACGACCACAGTTAAGCCTGCCATATGTCTTAAGTGTCCACGGTTCCCATGAAATTGCCTTTACTGAAAACAGACACAGCTTTGGTTTACATTCTCAAAACTGAGAAGAGCAAGAGTAGATCTCGATCTAGGGAAAACTACAGCTAGATTCTCTAAAAATAGTAATAATAATCTGCCTCTGATCTTGACCTCTATGTGTTGACTCTGTCGTCTCTATTGAGGGGACATTATGCATGTAGGGATGGCAGAGAGCATAACCCACACACAGCCCAGACTCCAGTCCTGACAGCTTCCATTCTTTAAATGAAGTCCTTTATACTTAAGCATTCTAATACAAAAAGACCTGGATAGAAATAAGAAAAGCTAGGAGACACTGTGTAATTCAGAGAAAGTTGCTTATTTTCTTTAACCTCAGCTTACCCATCTCTAAACAGAAAACCCATGAAAAACAGAAGACCACAGGCATGCTTTGCCTATATCATTCGGTTGCCATAAATTTTAGTTTTGAATGTAAATAAATAGATGTTTGTGAAACAATTGATGTTTATGAAAACTTTCTGTCAGTGTGAAATTCTTCATGTATTTTGGGTATCCCTTTGTAAAAAATCATCAGGTAGGGCCGGGCACGGTGGCTCACGCCTGTAATACCAGCAGTTTGGGAGGCCGAGGCAGGCGGATCACGAGATCAGGAGCTCCAGACCATCCTGGCTAACATAGTGAAACCCCTTCTCTACTAAATATACGAAAAATTAGCCGGGCGTTGTGGCGCCTGTAGTCCCAGCTACTCGGGAGGCTGAGGCAGGAGAATGGCGTGAACCCGGGAGGCGGAGCTTGGAGGGAGCCAATCTCATGCCACTGCACTCCAGCCTAGTGGCGACAGCGCGAGACCCTGTCCCCCCAAAAAAATCATCAGGTAACTAGAAGGAGAGTTGCTATTTCATGTCATAATTTGGAAATGTTAGGACTTCTCTCCAGGGAAAATTTACTGAAAAAATTTTTATTGACCTTTTTGTTTATAAAAATTATAACTTTCCAATATAGAATGAGTGGAAAAATTGAGACAAAATTTAACAAAATTGCTTTGCCTGATGAAGTAATAAGAATTTTTAGAGAAGGAAATTTGGCATCTGGGCTGAAGGAAAATGAGTACAGAGAAAATCCTGAAAGTAGAGTGTATCAACACAGTAGCAGGCTGGATTCTAGGGGGACAGATGGCCATTTGAAATTCTCTATGGTAGGTAAATTGTAATGATCTTAGGAGCAGTGATAGCTGACACTAGAGTTTAAATTTCTTTGTGTCCTGGGCTATAATTATATCCATTAGTCTCAAATATTCGGGAAACATCTGTGAGGCAAAACAGCTTTGCATTGTTGGTTCTTTGTTCAATGATTTGGTGAAAGGATTGTGTTCATGTTTTGGGACAGGATAATCATAAGCAATTTGAATATCAAGAATTATTGAAAATAGGATTCCATAATAATTTAAATAATCATTAGGGTTGGAGTTCAGAGCAAGACTTCATAGGTGACTACCAGAAAAAAATGTAAGGATTCTCATATCCAGAGACTATTTGCAGGAATATTTGAGATGATACGTTTATGTGAAAATGGAAACCAAGAAATCAAGGAAGAGACGACACCAAAAGTTTGGATGCATTAGAGACTTTCAAATTACATTACCAAAAAATAATTGCATAAGACCAGAACCAAATATTGTCTACAAAATGGAAATTAACACAAAGGTAAGCGTTAAAATTTAAACTGAAATTCAAATGGAGTGGCTTGCTTTTATTGCCATGATAACTAAAATTTTTTAGAAAGTCAGGGAAACTATGAAGCCAATATAAGTTGTTTATTAATATAGAAAATATTTTCAAATTAGTAACCATTTAATCTGACATTTTTATTGACAAAGGCAGGTATCTACTTACTGTGAGTCAAATGCTGCAATTGCATTTATGGTATATGTTATTCAGCCATTTATATCTAAGTTTCTCTTTCTTTCTTTCTTTCTTCCTTTCTTTCTTTTTTGCACATCTGGTAGGTAAATGGCAACCAATTTTGCTTTGTGGAAGTTTAAATTGTGGCCATCTTCTCTCATGGCCATTATTCCTCTGCTACCCTCAGGGGGTATGATTTGTCAAGTTTTGTTGGTAGAAGTAGAGCCCTTCCCTGGGTGTATTCACTCACTGTCACAAGCATATGAATGTTTCCATAGTATTCAGGTCAGCAATAAGGAGATAAGTGAATTGGGGAATAATTAAGACGTGAAAATGAAAGATGAAGGAAATCAAGTGTGATTCAGAATGATTAATTTTGGTGTTTTTTATTTTTTTTAAATCTGCAATATCTGCTGGGAAAATGAAGAAACTGGCATTGACATACCAAGTTTGAGTCAGGAGGTTTGTATTCATTTAGTCTTCAGGAAATGTATGAGTGATACCATAAATAGCCCCATTTTAGGGAGAAATCTACTGAGTTTCAGAGAGATTTGGTTCCCTGTGGGAGTTATGTAACAAATTAAAGAAAAACATAGTGTTCAGACTTCTATCTGTGAACCCAGAAAATCCGAGACACGTCTCGGTTAACTTAGAAAGTTCATTTTGCTGAGGTTGAGGATGTGCCTGTGACACAACCTCAGGGAGTTCTGATGACACGTACCCAAGTGGTCAGGGCACAGCTTGGTTTTACACATTTTAGGGAGACATGAAACATCAATCAATCAGTGTGGGTAAGAAGTACATTGGTTCAGTCTGGAAAGGCAGGACAACTTGAAGCAAAGGCAGAAAGACTGAAAGCACGTGGGGAGGAGCTTCCAGGTCACACATAGTTGAGTCACAAAGGGTTGCATTGTTTTGAGTTTCTGATTAGTCTTTCCAAAGGAGGCAATCAGATAGACAACTGTCTCAGTAAGCAGAGGGATAACTTTAAATAGAATGGGAGCCAGGTTTCCTCTGAGCAATTTCCAGCTTGAGTTTTCCTTAGTGATTTTGGGGGCCCAAGATAGTTTTCTTCCAATCGAATCTTAAAATCTGTATCAATTCTTAAAGAGCTTAAAATCAGCCCCCAACTCTTGCCCTTCTGAGAAGACAAACATAAGACAGCTATACTGCATGCAATCAATTTAATGTAATGATTGCAAACATATTTTGAAAGAGTAGAAAATAAACCAATGTAATTTGAAAGACACTTTGAGAAGCAAAATTATTTTTGTTGTATTTTATGTGTTATATGAGGGGGCAGGCAAAAAGGAATTCTATCTTCTTTTAAAAGAATCAAGCACTCATCTAATGTATATATGTATTTGATTATTGGTGACAAAGTACAGCAACACAATTCCAAAAAACATTTAAAATTTGATAATAGAGCGTTCTAAAAGCTAAAATGCATAGACAACTTTTATATATATCATGTCATTATTTTTATGTATAAGTCATAAACAGAATACTCTCCTTTCCAAAAAATTTAATATAGGGAGAAAAACCTGTGTTCTTTACTATTATAAGGAATCATCTTTATGTCTACAGTGTTTCTTCCAGGCCATTGTGAAATTTCATTGAGCAATTATTCTGAGACAGACATATTTCCAAGAATATTATATTATTTAACCTTAAATAATTTTGCCATTGTTTGTACCTTGCCTTCATATGGGGAAAAAGGAGTTTTACTCCATTAGGTACACTTCTAAATGATGTTCCAGAAATACACCAAACAAGCAAATTATTTGCATGGATTGGTCCAGTTGAGAAAATATGCTGCTCCTGCAGCCTCCTTGTCTTCTCTTAGCTCCCACACTGGAAGATGGTGAAAGATCCCAGTGCTGCTTATAGACTCCTCAGAGGAAGTCTTTGCAAATGTAGAGGGCACTTTTCCCAACTCTCTCTAGCATCTAGAAATGTCATGCTTACCTCTGATAATTATGACATATGAACCAGTAAAGATTTTTTTTTGCACTTAAATATACCCCAGACTTTCTCTTGTTGGTTTTATTGATTAATTAATTTAGAAAACCTCAACATAAAATATTTTACCTATGATTCCTGGATTTTATTAACAAAATCACTAGAAAAATTTTAAAAAATGTATCAAGATTTCCATAGTTCAAATAATTTTTAGGTATTAAGTACCTAATGGCCATTTTTTTTTCCAAGTTAGTGCATTTGAGTAATGGGTGTGTGTGCATGTGTGTGTACATATCCATGCACATTCTAATGTCTCTAGCATGAATTTCTATGTCATACTATTTATAACTGGAACTTGGCTGGCATTTAGGAAACCGTTGATTTACTTTTGCATGTCAAGTATGGAAATACAGCTTTTCCCTCACACAATGACTAATGAGCCTGTCAGCAGAATGGTGTTTTACAGGATTTTATGTAACAAAGGACTAGTGGCTACTTTTTATTTTGTACTCAGAGCAACCGAAAGCAGCAAACAGAACCAAAATGTCAAGTGTAATCTGTCATGACTCAATTACATCTGACCGGAAACAGAAAAGGAAAGAAATGTATTATTAGATAAATCTAAAAGAGCCATTAGATAATGAAAAGATTTTATTTCTCATATGCATTATTTGTCATCAATAAACAAATATATCTAGTCAATTTCCCTAAACCGTAATTATGATACATATAAATACTATAATATTCTCCATCTGCTCGTCTTTGATTGTGGTAAGCAGGTAGAATATCTTTAAATCTGTCACTAATTCCTTCCAATCAGATAGCAACAGGAAAGATTAGTCAACACTCATTACAGGAAACATCTAAGATGTGTAGCTTCAACATCATTTGTCAATAAAATGTGAAGAATCAAAATCATTACAATTTCCTAGAGTCAGTAGTAGCAATTTCAGATAAAAAAAAAATCATCTATGCAGACATCTGAGAAGAAATTGAACGTACAAATCTCAGTGGATATTTTCATGTTGAGTTGGAATCCAAGCATCATAAAATATCCCACTAGGACATGTTGGACTGTAATATTTCCAAAGCTGAAACAGAATCCAATCAAGCAAGAGTGTGCTTATGGAAGGTTTTGACAAGATTTCTTCCAAGGGCAACCCCCAGCATGAAATAGAAGTTTTCTCACAGCAAGATTCATCTGTGATGCACTTTTAACATTGAGGCAGTCACTTGTCAAGTACTGCAGAATTGGTGGAGGCTTCTGAGGACTAGATCTGTATTCTGCAATAGCCACACATGGCTATTTAAGTGTAATTTTAAATTAACTAAAATGAAATAAAAATATAAAATGTAGTTCCTCAGTCATACTAACCACTTCAGTTCATTTTTCTCTCTAAGGATCCAAAACGGTGAATACCTGAAGGTAAAAACTACACAGAGGCTGGGCGTGGTGGCTCACGCCTGTAATCCCAGCACTTTCGGGGGCCGAGAGCGGCGGATCATGAGGTCAGCAGATGGAGAACATCTTCGCCAACATGGCGAAACTCCTTCTCTACTAGAAACACAAAAATTAGCTAGGCGTGGTGGTGCATGCCTGTAGAGCCAGCTACTCAGGAGGCTGAGGCAGGAGAATCGCTTGAACCCGGGAGATGGAGGTTGGAGTGAGCCGAGATCATGCCACTGCACTCTAGTCTTGGTGACAGAGTGAGACCCATCTCAAAACAAAAAACAAAAAACAAACAAAAAAAACTACACAGAATGTTGGAATTATTTAATGTAATGTATATGTTTTTATAAACTTTCCTTCTTCTTGATAAAGCATGGTATGAATCTGACCTCAAATATAGATCCTAAACCCTTGTATTCCATTACTTTTACTTTTTTTTTTCTTTTTTGAGACTAAGTCTCGCTCTTGTCCCCAGGCTGGAGTGCAGTGGCGTGATTTCGGCTCACTGCAAACATGCTTCCCGGGTTCAAGTGATTCTCCTGCCTCACCTCCCCGAGTAGCTGGGATTACAGGCACGCACCACCACACCCAGCTAATTTTTGTATTTTTAGTAGAGACGGGGTTTCATCATGTTGGCCAGGCTGGTCTCAAACTCCTAACCTCAGGTGATCTGCTTACCTTGGCCTCCCAAAGTGTTGGGATTACAGGCGTGAGCCACCGTGCCCAGCCTAATTTTACTTATTAATCATTTTATAAGCTAAACTTATTTTCCTCAACTGGCCAGCCTTCTGGCTGGTTCATAGAGCTTCTTTCCTACTTCATTTTTCTTCTCTTGCTCCACATTGGTCACACTAGTCTTCCTATTCTCTTCAAATACTCAAAGTACATTCTAAGTACTAGCTAATTTCTCTCTTAGTGCCTAGAAATGCTATTTCCACAGAAACGTGACCCACACCTTGAAACATTCCAACTTCTGTATAATTATTATTTTCTGATAACTTTGCTGACTTTAGAATCTTAAGATATCCTTGTAGTGCTTTGAATTTTTTCTTCAAAGCTGAAATAATATTATACATTTATGTAATCACCATCATCACCATTATCACCACCATCATATCACTAACACATATTGGGTATTTATTATGTCTCAAAGATGGATTCAAGAACTTTACCTATATTAAAACATCCTTATATAGGCTTATTATGTTATGTCTTTTTTCCATATTGTACAGATAACTAAAACATGGATGAGAAAGGATAGATATCTGTCCTTCACTCAACTATAGTGGTGCCTGGGTTTGAATGCTGGCAGTCTGGCAGGTCCATGATACCAGTTACTATTTTTGTTTAATTGGCTATCTCCACTTTCACGAGAAAAGGATATCTATTTTAAGCAATACTGTTATCTCTGACACCTAGATCACCATTTATCACATAGAGTCCACTTAATAAACACTTGCTAAATTAGTGAAAGAACAAAATAATCAATCGATTGATTTTTAAAAATATTATAAATATAAAAATTAAACAATAAAGTTCCCTGGTTTTCAATGTGCCCATATCTTTCTTACTTTTAATTTTTTTCCTTTTAATTAACAGAAGGACTCCACTGAGATCAAAATGTGAGACAAAGTTCAATAACTGTCAGTGTTTTATCCAAACTTCCAGCTCTTTTGTCTAGAGAAGTTTCACAACTCCTTTCTGGCAAAAGGTTGTGAGTAAGCTGTATCTGTTGTGCTCTCTAAGGTTAATGTCCATAGGAAGATTCTATCATGCAAAGGCACAAAAAGATTTCACATCAGGAGAACATTATAGAACAGAGAGCTTAGTGAGTATCAGGTTTCGTGGCACGTAATTTAAGAATTTATGAGAAAGATAGTGTTGCACTCAGATGGGCTAAGTAACAAATAACCCCAAAGCTTAGTAATTGGAAATGACAGAGTTTATATGTTGCTCTTGCTATTAGTCCATCAAGGACTCTGGAGGATGTTATGTGTCCATAATGTTCCTGTTACACTCTTCATCAAGGGCTCACCTCAGCACTCAGGGACTGCGCCAGGGTACCGGAGCGGCCCCCGTGTCTCATGTTATCAGTTGACATGACAGAGAGAAAACTGAGAGTTCTACAAGGTTTACCACCAACAACTGGAGACATGACCTAGAAGGGACACACATGACTAACACTCATGACTTATCCAAAGCTAGTCACTTGGCCCTACACACCCACAAGAGTGCTAGAAGCTGTGATTCTGTAAGTGTCCAGAGGGCAGACCTTCAGAAATATTTCTGAAGTTCACTACTGCCTATCACAGAGAGAAAGAAAACGCAAAGATTGAATATGTAGGCTGGGCATTCTAAGAAAAGTACAAGCCCAGTATTCCACAAGGGAGGTGTAGTTACAGGGGATCCTGGGGAGAAACATTACTAACAAGCCATCAAAAAAGACACATCTGATATTTGTTTCATTTGGAAAGTTCTGTGTTTACAACCATAAAGAAAAGTTCATGTTCGATAGCATGATTCAATAGACACATTTGATAAAAAGACACCCTCACCGTATCTCTCTTACAGAATCATAAAAGGGGGCTTGAGGTTTCATTTATTCAGACTGAGTGTTGTCGTGTGTGTCATAATTTCAGAGACTGTATTCAGTCCATGATTTCCAGTGATGGAAATGTTCTAACTACGATTCCTAGTTTCTTCTGTGTTCCTAACACCTAACCTAAATCACATGGGTTAATTCAATTTCCTCCTGTTCCACAGCCAAAAGAAATGCAGAACTGCTAGTTCCCATAATCACTCTTCATATGCTTTAAGAATAATTCTACCTATAATCCCAGCTACTCAGGAGTCTGAGGCAGGAGAATTGCTTAAACCCGGGACATGCAGGTTGCAGTGAGCCAAGATCGCGCCACTGCACTTCAGCCTGGGCAACAGAGCAAGACTCCATCAGAAAAAAAAAAAAAGGAATAATTTTAAAAAATACCTCCATCTACTCACCCCCATCCTCAGCCAGCAACTAAATCATTTTTTTGTACTACATGTTCAAATCTTGTTTACCAGATGATTAGCCATTTTAATATATCTTCTCTGGATTTTTTCCAGGTTCTTTTCATCTTTCAGGAAATATGAATTCTGCACCTGCATTTGAGGCACGATGACTCAATAATTTCATGGTGGCAAAAACTAAATAACAGTGTCCTCGTTAATATCACCTCGACTCATAATAGTTCTAGCAATATCTTTTAGCACTCATGTTTGTATCAGACAGTCTTCTGAATACCAACATCTTTTTTTGCCATGTTTTAATTTTTTTTTAAACCTCTCTTGTTCTTATTATCCTCTACAATTACAGGCTGAAAGAGAATTTTCTGGGTCTAAGGAAACTTCTGTTCTCCCTCCCTTAACACTCTATAAAACCACCATCATTCTTTCCTTAATCTTCCTTGCACAGTATTCGCCATTCAGTTCAACCTTCACTAACATCTCAGTGAGGGTAAAGGTGAACTTAGTAAAAGACTGGGATGTCTAAATAAACATGAGGGGCAAAAAAAAAAAAAAAAAAAAAAAAAAAAAAAACAGAACAGAAGTAGCATTCGTTGGTTAAAGCAAATACATGCTAATCTGCTGAGGCAATTTTTGTCCTTGCTTTTTTTTTTTCTTCTGAGACGGAGTCTCAATCTGTCACCCAGGCTGGAGGGCAGTGGCGTGATCTCTGTTCACTGCAACCTCCACTTCCAAGGTTCAAGCAATTCTCCTGCCTCAGCCTCCTGAGTAGCTGGGATTACAGGCACAGGCCACTACGCCTGGCTAATTTTTGTATTTTTAGTAGAGACTGGGTTTCACCATGTTGGTCAGGCTGGTCTCAAACTCCTGACCTCGTGATCCACCGGCCTCGGCCTTCCAAAGTACTGGGATTACAGGCGTGAACCACCGCACCCAGCCCGCCCTTGCTTTTTAATCATTAAACCCTTGCTCTAATTCTGTTTGCATTACTGACTTTTAAAAATTACCAAAGCAATTATATTCTATAATTCCTTCATTTAAGTGTTTTACATATTTTGATCACACTGTTTTAGATTCCTGGAAAGGAAACCCACTCGAACCAGTAACTTTGAAAGAGGCATATTGCAGAATCCAGGCCTCACAAGAATCCAGGCAAAACTCTCCAAGCACAAGGAATTGGCAGTTCCAGGGCACTCTTTCATCCATCTCTTTCTTTCTTCTCTCCATTGGTGACTCATCCCTCATGCTTATTGCTGTAACTTTTCTATCCTTACAAAGTATATGGGTTTTATGTTGCTGCCATTGCTATTGTGTTTGTTTCTTGGTAAGTTATCTCGCAGATTATTTAGAATAACCATCCCAACCTCAAAATTTAAGTATCCCAGGCCTATCTCTTAATGTTACTGCAAAAGTTTTGCAACTCGTTTGTCAGATTATGTTGATCAGGCTTATTTTTTAATAAGCCCAGCCACATAGCATACATATTTCCTGATTTGGTATAACACGTGTAGACCTGATCCAATTATCTATTGCTATTGTGTAGAGAAAAATAGAATATGTGAATCATAAAATGTTCATTTTATGGATTTGCCTTGATGGGTAAATGCAAATAGATCTTAGACAAATAAATTGTATTAACATGCAAGTGTATAAGATGTCTGGTGATATGAAAAGAGAAACAATAAAATATAGACAATGATTGCCTAAAATAATATTAGTCTTACTTTTATCTTAATCAAGATAATTGTAATTTCCTGGATCTCTGTGTATAAAAACAATAAAACTGGTGGGTGATAATAATAATTTTATACCTGGAAAGCAAGACATATCTAGGAGGAACTGAGAAGTTTAAAAGTCTTAGCCAGTATTCACACTGGCATGCTCATATGACCTGAAAGAAAGTGCTTTGCAGCAGGTAATTCAAAGGCAATGCTACAGATTGTGTATAATGTCCTAGAATTTAGAGTCGCAATAAAAAAATCAGCCTAACTAACCTCAAACTCAACTATCAATTCTGAGTGAAACACTGTCAAATGCCTAGTGACCTAATGTGATTAGTAGTCCTTCCGGACGGCTTGGTTTTAGGGTTTCTGATTAGCACAAAATATCACAAGAGGCAGCTTGTGATAAAAGACTCATTGGTCTTTTAAAACTTTTATTTATATGATATTAAACACAATTTTTTAAATCAAAATCCAATAGTCTGTAAACAAACAACAGAGGAGCTATTCTTGCATATTTATGTAATGCCTTCTATGACACATACATGGTGGTTGTTTGATTGTATAAAAACAGAAATCACTCTAATATTTTATATTATAGTATTTGAAAGACCATCTTAGTGATGAATGAAACTGCATGTAACAGGCAGTCAGTAAAAATATGTAGTGAAAATAAACATTGATAATATAATTTTGACTTACCTTCTCCATAAACATTAAAGACTCAATTATGATTCTGCAGTAACTACTATCTCAACAATGTACAAAGTCTGTCACAAAGCCACAATTATGCCATGAACATTTATGCCTTAATGTTGAATTCAAAACAGTTACACTAACCTTATTAAAACAAAAAAGCATGCTAATATTTCTCTTACTATAATAATAAAAAAGGTGACTTGTCATAACAAGATTAATATTGTACCAAGGATAATAATAATGTGTGTGAACTCTTCTAACACATATATAAAATTCACACCTAGTCTATGTAATTATTAAGTGCTATTTGCTCTAATTATTATTGTTTTTCATTCATATTCCTGAGTTTCTCTTTAGTATTTTGTTTACATTTGAATTTTCAAATTAAATTGTGTTTATAATAAATGGATACCAATCTAACACTATAAAGTTAAAGACTTTGACACATTATATTCCATTATCTGGTTTTGGAAAAAAAGGTTATATATATGTATATTTCAAGTATGTATATATGTATATTATATATGTTTATATATGTGTGTGTGTATGTATGTGTGTATTTCTAAAGAAACTATTTGGAAAACCTACATCATATTTGTTTTTCCATTTTAAAAATATTTTACTTTGAAAGGTTGACTTCTTTTGATGATCCTTTATGACAGCCTTTTATTACTTTCCAGAATTTACAGCTTGTCTCACACTGCTCACTAGAAGCTGAACTTTCAGTAATGCCAGTTCACTCTTATTTGAAATGTTGGTAGTTGTGATCCTTGTTTGTCAAAATACTGTTTTAAAATATGACAGTCATTATATCATCCACATTTCTTAAGTCTGTTGGTGGCTTTGATTTAAAGACTAGATTATTTGTTTGACCAGTGATTTGTGAGCAAATTGAATTCAAGTTCATATACACAGAAAGCCTTGTGGCACTAAATCATTATCAGGAGACTTTTCCATTTGATGTATGTACTCAAAATTAGATGAAGATAATTTTCTGCAACTTAAACGTGGAACTCAAAAATTCCTGTCAAGATAAAATGGAAACTTATCATCCATTTGCTTGTATATTTTTAAGAAGAACAAGGCAATTAATTTAGACATTTTCTTCCTCAAATTACAATGAAGGTCTGATGCAAGACTAAACTGCATCCTAGAATCAGCAATGTTATTACCTTTAGAGACGATATCTTTGAACATAGAGCTTTATGGACGTCAACAATTCTGGGAAAACGTACATTTAAACACATGTCTTTGATTTTAAAAAGTATTATGCAGTAGCTACAAAATAATATTTCCTAAACGCACAGTATTAAAGTATCATGCTATGGCAGTAGTTTGACAACTCTATATGTCAATTGATGTCCCCAAATATGTGCATGGCCATGTATCTTGTTTGTCTTTGTTCAAAAAATTTCCATAAAATTGCTCTTATTTCTCGTTCTCTAGAACGTGTGTTGAAATATGAATGTACTGTACTTGCACATGTTGCTTGATGCATTTTCAAAATATTATCTCTCAGAGAATTGAGTGAAATATTCTAACACAACAAGATTTGTTGGTATTTTTATTCACTGAGACAAGAAATACAAACCGTCTGAGGAAGACTCATTTTAGCCTTTACTAAATCACCGCCACAGTGTTGAACATCGGTGAAAATGGTTTAACCTGCCTCTCATGTGCTGGTTTCCTGTGATGTTCAGCTCCCATCACCTGTGACCTGATAAGATCTCATCGGCAGTCCATAATCTCCGGCTTGGGCAAGACTTTTAATCTGTGCAGCGCATAGTAACTTCTCCACCTACAGGCCTGACATGTTTCACTACGGCAGCATGAAAATCAGTTTATTTATGTTGAATGCATGACATCTGACAGCACTTCCCCACTATATAAGTGCCTAACAGTTTATCAAATGTCACGTTTGAAGTTATGTCAATAATCCCTGTCTGTGCCTGATGCTTCTGCAACTGTGAATGACCTGATCTTTTAAAATATCATCTTGCATACTGCTATTAGACAGTAGTACTTTTAGCTTTTTACTTTTAAATAAAAATCTATGCCTCTTGACTACAGCTGCCTATCCTTTGGAAATGATATTTTTTCAATTACTGTAGTAATTCTCAGTATAAAATATACATCTAGAGAATACACAGAGTTTGTTGGATTAAATATGAGTTTTAATTCTTCACATTTTAAAAAATCCCTCAGACATCTGGTTTAGCAAGATCTAAGAAAAAAAAACATTTTGCTGTCTATCATTTGCCATCTTTGTGATTCTGCAGAGTTTAAAATTTAGTTTGATTGCATTGGACTTTTTTATCACTGAACTTCTTATTCAAAAAGAAAAAAGAAAAATAAAGAATTAGAGAAGGGACATGTAGCAAAGAACGAAATGAAAGGAAAGGCTTATTTATTATTGTCTTTATGTGATATTACTCAAATTGGCTAGATTTGTCTTTGACACAGAGCAATAAAACTGTGATGGTAGTTCAGCACAGCTACAAACGCCAGCTTCAATTCCTGAGTGACAATTCTCCAACCCAAAAGGAAAATGGAGAATACAAGAGTGATTCCAGTAGGTTATGCGACATGTCAACTGTAATAGGACATAAGAGAGCAATAACTCAGTGATGCTCTGAATGACTCACTTACTCTTCTTGGTACTGATACCTAGCTCTGATCAAATGGTATTTATTACGGATGTTATGATTAGATGGAATTGCTTAAATGGGAACACTCTCACCAGAAATGAATACGAATAGAGAAACCAGCCATGAAATACTTGTTACATATTTTTACATCATTTATTTGGATTCCAAGTACAAGAGTTCCTCTTTGAAGCAGCATTACCTTAAGCCAAAGCAGATTTCTAGAGGGGTCTCCTCCCTTTCCAGGAAATTTGGCTTACTGTGGTTGAGAGAGCCCGTGGGCCCAAGGTTCTGCTTGTGGTAACAGGCAAGGGTAGTTGTGCATTCTGGCTGATGGTAATGACTGAAATGTCACCATGCATAAAGTAAAGACCTTGTACTGCCAAGAAGATCTGATGTAAAGAATGATACCAAAGAGAGTGATGCCTTAGTGTCATCTGTTACTCAGAATAACACATGAAGATATCTGTGCCATAAAACAAACTTGTGTAAATATGCACTTCAGCCACAGTGAAAGAAAACCATAGTCCCATATATTAAGCTTGCTCACTCTGACATGATAGCTCTGGATTGGCTTTGTTGCCTCAGCAATTCCTGGCTAGTAGAGAGGTATCTGACTGACCAGGAAAATTGATCCAGGGAGGGCTATACTGTTGCTCCCTTGTCTCTGGAGGCAGCCATGGTCATCCTATGGTGACATGAAGGTTTGGCATGCTATTAGTCTCCTCTTTGTTCTCTTTCAGTTTCTCAAGGGCCTATGACTCTTTAAAGTGGTAGACAATGTTCGATTATAACAGCCAGTTGAGATTTGAGAACAATCGCACGTTCTTTAGTATAATTATGTGTACTCATATTGCCATTTAGTACCGCAGTGATGTTCACCAGCTCTAGCTGTGCTTAACTCTGAGAGGTTTACCTGGCCATCACTTTCCCTACATACCCTACACACCTCTGTTCCAACCCCGTGAAGTTTGTCCAAAAAAGTAGATATATTTCCCTGATTTATCTGGATGTGTCAACTGGGATAGTCATTTCACCTTGCCTTTTCCCCAGAGCTTTTTTCTAAAGCAAAATAGTGAAAAAGGTAGAACTAACCTGGAGTGAGGGCTGTTGAAACAACTCGACTCATGCCTACCAGTTTTCGACTTAGCCATATACTTGCTTAGTGGACCTATACCATTCCCGCCATGGTAGAATATTTCAGACCCCGACGAATTCCAGGTGTGAAATAAGAGAAAACTTGTTAGTATACATGTCCAAGGATTATTTTGTCATATAAATGTATTATTTATCTTCTCACCATAAACTTCCCTTAAAAATAGAGAGGAACAGTATTAAGTGTTGAAGACAGCATGTATTTTGTTGTAAAGCTTTTCTCTTCTCTACTTTTTTTTTTTCCAATTCTGTTTCTACAGGGATTTTATCATATATTTTTACTCACCTTTTAAAACAAATGCAGTGAATCTCTGTTATTCATGAACAACCTAATAGATGATTTAATCTAACATTTGATACCACTGGATCCTGGTCCTTAAGAAACATTCCAGCTTTCTCTACCCAAACTCCGTCTTTCTTGCAGTCGCTCCCAGAAGTCTGAAGAAGCTGTTAAACTCAGAACATCAGGGAATGGGGCCAATTTGGTATTCTAAGCAAATTAAGTTATATCTGTCACACATTTATTTTGTAACGACTTCTCCACTGCACTGCCTTTCCTCTCAATCTGTACTATACTCTATGCTCTCCTCTACTTTATAACTTGTATTTTCCCCCCAAGCAAAAAGCTCATTTCCTACCTTCTCTTTCTATTTAAGATTCTTGAAAGGATCATGTTATGTTCAGTATCTCCACTTCCCATTTTCACATTTCCTATTTTCTCAACCCAGGGTAACCTGGTTGTCAACCCCACCATATTAATTACATTAAAGTCACTAACATTATCCTAAATTCTTATTTTTTTTAGTCTCGCCACCACAAACTACTTCTTAAAATGTACTTAGTGGACATCCATTTTTTTCTCAATCCTCTTACCCTGATCTTTCATCCCATCAATTAAATCCTGAAGAGCCCTGTTATTACATTTTACCTATTTCTCCTTTTTTATGTTATTCTTTGGTTATCTAATTTTCCCTAAAATATGCATTTTTTTCATTATTTTCCTACCAAATTTGAAAATGAAGAGGACTTTCTGTGCCACAAACCAGGCTTGAAACCTGGGAACCATTCTTGATAATTTTCCCTCTGTTATTCAAAATTAATCAATCCTGTGTTCATATTTATCTTACTTTCTAAATATCACATGTATACTTCTTCTTGCCGCACAATAGTAACTCCTTTAGTACAGAGATTTATTATTTCTCACTCTCTATTCTATTGTTATAGCCTCCTAATTAGTATTCCAAGTTCCTATAGTGTTTTTCCTCAAACCATTGTCTACATAAAAACTATGTTTTTGTGACCTCAACAGCACTGTAGCAATACTCAAATTGTGCTTTAAAAATATCTTGCTTTGCATCAGAATGACATAAAGTGTATTTTAATAAAGCAGACAGTTCGGCCCCAGTTAAAAATCTCTGGAGGAGGGGCATACTGAGAATTTGGATTTTAAAAAATGCACACTACAGATTGATACCTAAGTAATGTTATTACTTTCTCCACTTTAAGGCAATTGTCCTATAGAGTGATACATCCTCCATGATCTGTACACTCTGTTCATTGAACTGTAGAGAAAGTAAAATATTAGAATATTAATTCATATTGATATTTTATGTATAAGAATGACAATATAGGCTGGGCGTGGTGGCTCATGTCTGTAATACCAGCACGTTGGGAGGCTGAAGCAGGTGGATCATGAGATCAGGAGTTCGAGAACAGCCTGACCAACATGGTGAAACCCCATCTTTACTAAAAATACAAAAATTAGCCTAGCTTGGTGGTGCACACCTGTAATCCCAACTACTCAGGAGGCTGAGGCAGGAGAATCACTTGAACCTGGGAGGCGGAGGTTGCAGTGAGCTGAGATGGCACCACTGCACTCCAGCCTGGACAACAGAGTGAGACTCTGTCTCAAAATAAATAAATAAATAAATAAATAAATAAATAAATAAATAATGACCATATAAATATGTATTGATATTTAACCCAATAATCAAAACAAACATCTACACTTGGCTTATTTCAGATGGGGACATATCATAGATAACACGGGTAGTGGTACTCTCACTCTAAATTTCCTTAGCAGATTTCAATAGATCAATAAAGAAGATAAGTGGGCCGGGTGTGGTGGCTCATGCCTGTAATCCCAGCGCTTTGGAAAGCTGAGGAGAGTGGATCACCTGAAGCCAGGAGGTGGAGACTAGCCTGAGCAACATGGTGAAATCCTGTCTCTACTAAAAATACAAAAATTAGCCAGACATGGTGGTGGGCACCTGTAATCCTAGCTATGCGGGAGGTTGAGACAGGAGAATCGCTTGAGCCAGGGAGGTGGTGGGAGGTTATAGTGAGCCTAGATCATGCCATTGCACTCCAGCCTGGGCAATAAGAGCAAAACTCCATCCCCCCGCTGCCCCCCCCCCAAAAAAGATATATGAATTGCATTTTCAAATTTAGCCCAACTATTTCATCATAAAATAGTAAAATAGTCAAATGACCTAATAATCTTGATTACACAAGAATGACAAATTAAAGATCAATAATGTGAGTGCAATTGGATGTAAATTGTTTTAAAATTAGTTATTTCTCAACATATTATAACATAAAGATAATACCAATATAAGAAGACCTGAAAGAAAGCCTGCCAAAATATTAAATATTACAAAAAAAATTTCTCTTTAAATGTAGATTTAAATATTTTTCATTGTTGGCCAGGCGCGGTGGCTCACGCCTGTAATCCCAGCACTTTGGGAGGCCGAGGTGGGTGGATCACGAGGTCAGGAGATCGAGACCATCCTGGCTAACACGGTGAAACCCCGTTTCTACTAAAAATACAGAAAAAAAATTAGCTGGGCACGGTGGTGGGCACCTGTGGTCCCAGCTACTCGGGAGGCTGAGGCAGGAGAATGGCGTGACCCCGGGAGACGGAGCTTGCAGTGAGCAGAGATATATCGCCATTGCACTCCAGCCTGGGGACAGAGCGAGACTCCGTCTCAAAAAAAAATTTCTTTTCATTGTTAAGGGTGAACATTGTTAAGTGCACACATACCATTCCTTAAGGTCTAAGTTAATGTTGATATGAAGGGATCATGCTGTGCATGCCCATTATAAACCAAATGTCTAAAACACAAAAACATTTTAGAATACAAAATGTTTTGTAAAGAAATATATTACATAATAGATTTATCTAAATATCCCATTTGTCTTTATATTTTTATTCTAAGTTGTTAATCCCTTTTGAAATAAACACCATCTTCACCTTGTATTAGCAGAGCCATACATGCAGTTATTAATAAATAATAGAGCGGTACTGGGTGTGTGTGTTCAAAGTTTTATTGATATTAACATGTATTGAAAATATTTGCAGACCATTGCTTTAGTTTTGTGACATTAAAAACCCTCTTAGTTTGATTTCTTAAATTGAACTAACCTCAATTTACTTTTGATGACAAAGTTAACTTATTATAAATACTTTTTGATCCACTTTCTTATAGAGATTGAGTCAGGCATGAGTTCTTTTGAATTTTAATTTAAAGATGTCAACAATATCATCACTTTCTAAATCAAGGTGCTCCATTTTTAATTAACAATATTAAAAAACTTTATTTTTTTTTCTGGTTACCATAAATTCTCAAATGAGAGGAATAATGTTAAAAACTTTATAAAGGCCTACACCTCCAGTTCATTGAGATTCAGGACAATTCACTCTTTGATTAAGTATAGATAAGCCTGACACCTATGTAGGATCACATTAATTATCATCTAACAGGAGAAGTCACTTTTACTAAACTGAAGTTTGCGTGATACCATCAGCCTATGTTAAATGACATTAAAAGAAACATGTGATTCTGGTGACTCCAGGGATATTTTTGAGAATATTTTCCACTGCTATTCACAGTCTATTCTGCTAAGGTCCACAGGCAACATTTCTCTCCGGTATCAGTATTAGGAATAGTGGTGTTTGTTTTGAAACACCTTCCTTACACTTCCTTACAGTTTGTTTTGAAACACTACTATTTGTTTCGAAACATCATCAGTTGAATTAATTTCATTCAATTCAGATATACTTTTTATTACATATGGTTCCCAACTTACAATGGTTCTATCTAAACAATTTTTTGACTTTCTGCTGATGTGAAAGTGATTCATATTCAGTAGAAGCAGACATCAAGTTTTCATACAACCTTTCTGTTTTTCACCTTTAGAACAGTAGTCAATGAATTACATGAGACCCTCAACACTTTATTATAAAATAGGCTTTGTGTTACATGATTTTACCCAACTATGTGCGAATATAAGTTTTCTGAGCACATTTGAGGTACACTAGGCTAAGCTGTGATGGTGAGTAGGTTAGACGTATTAATTGCATTTTCAATTTCTGATTGATTTATCAAGACAACCCTATCTTAAGTTGAGGAGCAACTGAATATAGTTGCGAATATAAAAAGACAAGACAAATAGTTACAATGTCATCCAGAGAAAAACAATAAAATGAAATTAGTAATAACAAATAGTTGTATGTGATTAAAAAAAAAGGAATAGAATACAGGAGAAGATTTTTGTTTCTTGCTTTTAATTGTTGAGGTAGGTCTAGTTACAAATGGATACAGGAAAAGGCTTTCTGAAAGTTGACAATAAGTATACAAACGACCCAAGTTTCCGCAGGGGAAAAAAGTTGACAATAAGCAGAGAAACAGAACTAACGATTTTATTTTTTTAAAAAAATCTTAAATTATGAAGAAATGTATTTCTGACAGAGAGAATAACATAAGAGAAGGCCCTTCTCTGGAATTAAGATGATTGAAGGGATGTAATTTGTATTTTAAGCATTAAAAGAGAAAGAGAGTAGTTGAATCTAAATTTGAGTAAATTAGCAGAAACTAGAATGCAATGGATTTGTAGTTTTTTCCTCATAGGTAATATTTATTTGCAGTTCAGTGTAAAGCTATTGAAGACTTCTAAGCAGAAACTACCATAATATTTAATTTATTGTTATAGCAATATGTTCCATTATAGGGAAAATAATGGAAGAAAATATATACTTGCCATAGAAAAAACAGTAAACAAGTTACTATAGTAATCTGATATTTATTTCTGCATAAAAAATCACTACAAACTTATATGATTAAACTATTATTTTGCAGTTTTCATGAGTCCAGTCCTGCTATGCCTTACAGGTGATATCTGCACAGGGTCTCACAAGTGAAAACTAAAGTGAGAACTGAAAGTAAAATCCTATGCCCTCCAACAGACCAAATGTAGCCCTTCATGGACAAGGGTATACCAGAGAAAGTTTAAAAACTGAGCTCCCAGCCACGACTAGATGGAAGGTCTATGATGCCTTGTTATACCCTCGTCCTTTTGCAGTTGAGGCACAAGTGAGCATCATTAATGTTAGAATAGAGATCATAAGACTGACAGAACAGACGCTTTATGAAAGTAAAATTCCAAATTATGAATAAGAGCTAAAGCCATGCCAGGCAAGGGTTAAGTCACGCACCCCTACACTCCAAGAATAAACCATATTCTGACTGCCACAAGGTTTCTCTTTTTCTCTAGCATCTAAACAAGTACTGGCCCGGAGAGAAGCTATCTTAAAACAATTGCAGCTCACCCACGGCCAGGCCTGTTGACTAACTGACCACTTCTCTTGGCCCTGCCTGAGTTCAAAATGTCATAACTACAACTTTGATTTAACAAGAGGCTGATTTCAGTAACTGTCTCCTGAGAAGAGACTTCCAGCCACGGAATGATTCTGGCTGAAGAATCATGCATGTTACATACAACCCATGTTCATTTTGGGGTGAACACTTAACATTTAAATGTATTACCGTTTATTTACAGTTCCCTATACTTTATGAAGCAGTTACACACGTGAAGGCATGGAAGGCACATGGAGGCACTGAATGCTTTCATGGTAATGGGAACTGTAAGGAAACTGTAATACATTTAATGTTAAGTCTCCAACCCAAAGCGGACATGGCTTGTATGTAACATGCACATTTATTCAGTACACATGTGTTAGGACCCCCTTCACAAATATTCACAGCTCCTCCTATAACCTGTTAAATATGTATACTTGGCCAACCCATTCAGCATAAATCCCTGTTCCACCCTCCCTACCTTCCACATGCCTGCCTTTGTGTTTCAGCCAGAGGCTGTGCTTCCCAACCTGTCAGAATGGCCCCCTTGGCCGGATGAGGTGGCTCATGCTTGTAATCCCAGCAATTTGGGAGGCTGAGGGAGGCGAATCACCTGAGGTGAGGAGTTTAAGACCAGCCTGGCCAACATGGTGAAACCCCGTCTCTACTAAAAATATAAAAATTAGCTGGGCGTGGTGGCAGGCACCTGTAGTCCCAGCTACTCAGGAGGCTGAGGCACGAGAATGGCTTGAACCCGGGAGGCAGAGGTTGCAGTGAGCCAAGATGGCACCACTGCACTCCAGCCTGGCGGGGATAGAGTAAGACTCCATCTCAAAAAAAAAAAAAAAGAATGGCCCCCTGGTAGGCTGTCATCTTTTATAAGGAATAATTCTCTTCTTAAAATTTATGAAGATATCCAAGTTTTTTGTTAACACAGATAGAAATAAAGCTGGCAGCCATGGCTGAGGTCTTATCTGAGGCTTGGGGTATTCTCCCAATCTCATATATTTTTTAGCATAATTAGTTGTTTTATTTTTGAAGCTGTAGAAGTTAGGGCAGTTTTAATTTTCAAAGACATCATGTATTGTAGGAGTTAGGGCAGTTTCCTTTTTCAAAGACAACATGAAAGAGAGGCACTGACTTCTAGAACCTCTTTTATGAGCCCAACTGATTTGTCCAAGCCTACCCAAAATAATCATCTTTAGATAAACTCAAAGTAAACTGAAAAGGGCCTTAATTCCATCTGCAAAATCCCTTCACCTTTTCCATATAATAGAACCTAACTTTGGAAATGATTTCCCATCATAGTCAACGGTTCGACCCACATTCAGGAGGAAGTGATTATACAAGGCATGTACATCAGGGAGCTCAACTCTGGGGGAAGTCTGAGAATTCTACCTATTACTATCCACCTGCAATTTACTTCTTTCCCACATGCAAACTATGTTTACTCTCTCCCAAGACTCTCAAAAGTTGCATATCATTATAGCAATGGCTCAATTTCCAGAATCTCATCATCTAAATCTACATCTCATCAACTCAAAGTTTAAAATGCCATCATCTAAATGAGATGTGAATGAGTCCCCTAGGAGTAATCATACTGTATCATCTGTATTTATACAGATCCTGGGGCAGGGCATTTCTCTCTCTCTCTCCCCACCAGCCCCCCATTAAGGAGACAAATTATTGGCTTTTAACACTCCAAACAATGAAGAGAAAGGCAAGGGATAGCAGGTGTAGATTGTAGATATTTGTGTTAGTCTGTTTGCATTGCTATGAAAGAATACCTGAGGCTCAATAGTTTATAAGGAAAAGAGATTTATTTAGCCCATGGTTCTGCACACTGCATATGAAGCATGGCTCCAGTATCTGCTTCTGGTGAGGGCTTCAGAAAGCTTCCAATCATGGGGGAAGGACAGAGGGGGTTGGTATGTTACATTGTGAGAGAGGAAATGAGAGAGGGAGGGGTGACGCCATGCTCTTTTAAACAAGCATCTCTCACAGGGACTCATAGGCTGAGAACTCACTCATTACTGTGGGGAGGGCACCACACCATTCATGAGGAGTCTGCCCTCATGACATAAACACCTCTCCCTAGGCCCCACCTTCTACACTGGGGATCACATCTCAACATGAGATATGGAGGGGACAAATATCTGAACTATATCAATATTCCATTTCAGAAGGAGAGTAAATAAAAAGTAAAAAGGAGTCACTGGCCATCATAGTCTGAAACACAGTAGACAAGCGCAGCATTTCCCTTAATTAGGTTTCAAAGCCTGGGAATAACTCTCACTGACTCTTGGCCAAGTTGTGTGGGCTCTTGTTTCTGTCTTCTGAGTTGTCCTTCCTTTTTCATGGAGGGTAGTATACGTTTGCCACTGAGTAGTTTTAATAGCCTTCTTCCTGCCAGTAGAATTTCTGAGGGCCCATAACCTCCTACCATTTTGTACTCTCTCAGTCCATTTCAATCACAGCTGGCAGTGTTTCTGCTGAAATGAATTTTTCAAAATATTTGTGGGTCTTGTGGGGATTTCATAGAATTTTCCTCCATTAGACAAAAGCCACATTCACAGATCTTTCTTGAGATAATCCTGTCTCTATCTTAGGCTTCTGCTGAAGTGGCTGAGGGGACAATACCCTCAAGCTTTCTAAAGGCCTTCTGGTTTAAGTAAAAAGAAATATGAGGCATGTTCCCACTCTCTTGAAAAGGTCCTTTCTGTGGCTGACTACTTTGATCTTTTGATCAATCTGAAATTTTAACGAAAGGTTGTAGTCATACATTCAGTCTTTCTCTATACTAGTTTTGGCAGATATTTCTGATACTTAACATTTTTGTCATCTGGAGAGGCAGAGAACTTACAAAATTATCTAGCCTGATTCCTTTTTGTTTAACAGTTCTTCCTTTAATTTATCTCTTTCCTCTCCTATTTTGCTATAAACAGCAAGAAGACAGGGGTACATACTTTAACATTTTACTCAGAAATCTCCCTAGCTATGGCCAGGTTCTTTCTTTACAAATTCTGCTTTCTGTATAACTGCAGGTCACAATTTCACTAAGCTTTCTGCCACTACTTAACAAGTAACTTCCTTCCTCTGGTTTCCAATAACATGTTCCTCACTTCCTTCTGAGCCTGCACTGGGGTAACATCTTTAGAGTGCAGATTATCACTAGCAGTCTGATGAAGATTTAGGCCTTATCTCAGTGATTTAGACTTTCTCTACTATGCTCCTCAGAATTTTTCTCCACTCACTTCTCAGTTCCAAAACTTCCCCACCCTTTTATATCTCCATTGTACCTGCAGCCCACTTTCCAGTACCAAAACCTGATTAACATAATGCCATAAATTCAACAGCTTAAAACAGTATACAGTTGACCCTTGAACAATGCCAACTTGAACTGTGTTGATTGACTGATGTAGATTTTTTCGATAAATATATTGGAAAACTTTGTGCAGACTTGCGACAAGATGAAAAACTCACAGATGAACCTTGTAGCCTAAAACTATTGAAATAATTAAGAAAAAGTTAGTTATGTTATAAATACATGAAATATGTAGATCCTTGTCTATCCTAGTCTATTTTATCACTTACCACTGTAGAATATGCAAAAATCTATTGTACAAGGTTAAACTTCATCAAAACTTACACCCAAAAATACTTACAGACTATACACAGTGCCATTCCCAGCCAAGAGAAATGTAAACAAATATAAGGAGGCAGAATTAAATTATCACTGCACATAATTAACTCTACTATATACTACCATAATAATTTCAAAGCCACCTCCTGTTGCTGTTGTGGTGAACTTAAGTGTTGCAAGCATCCGCTAAAAATGCTGTGTGACGTTCATCATCTCTGCAAGAGCAGTTCGTCTCTCCAGTAAATTGCATATGGCAGTAAAAAGTGATTTCTTAAGGTTCCTATGTATTTTTCATTGTGTTCAGAGCACTACTGTAAACCTTGAATAACACCATGAGATGCATATGAAGGGCCACTTGTGATGTTGGAAGTGCTCCTAAAAAGCAGATGAGAGGCATAACCTTAGAAGAAAAAGTTAAATTGCTTGATATCTACCATAGATTGAGGTCTGCAGCTGCGGGTGCCGCCATTTCATATGGACCATTCATTGTGTAAACAGGCAGTCTAAACTTAAATCATTCACAAGTACAGTCGAGTGCTATAAATGTATTTTCTCTTTCTTATGATTTTCTTAAAAACATTTTCTTTTTTAGCTTACTAAATTGTGAAAATATAGTATATAATACATATAAAACAAAAAATACTTGTTAATTGACTATGTTATCTTAAGGCATCTGGACAATGATAGGCTATTAATTGTTAAGTTTCCAGAGAGTCAAAAATTATTCCTAAATGTTCAGCTGCACAGGTGGTTAGCATCCTAACCCCTGTGTTGCTCAAGAGTCAACTGTATGTTTATTATCTCCCAATATTCATGGATTAGGACACTGAACACAGCTTAATTGTGTTGTCTGTTCAAGATCATATGTGTACAGCCAAGGTGTTGATCTCATCTGAAACTTAAGGTCCTTTTCCTAGCTCACTGGTTGCAGGCAAAATTGAGTTCTTCATGTTTGTAGGACTGAGGACTTCAGCTCCTAGAAGTTGTCCATCAATCTCTGTCACATCGCCGACTTCATACCATGGTGGTTTACATCTTCAAGACTGAGGAGAGCTTCTTTCCTACTTCTAGAGACTCTTTTAAAGGGCCCATATGATTAAATCAGATCCACCGAGGAAACTCTGCCTTTTGATTAACTTAAAATCAGTTAATCAGGGTCTTTAATTATATCTACAAAATTCTTTTAGCATTGAATTATGATGTAATCTAATAGTGGTAATGATAACCCATCACACATAGATATAGATTTAGATATTGATTAGATATAGATATATACACACATATGTGTGTATATGTGTGTACATATATAATGCATATATGTGTATATATATACAATATATTACATATATATACGTTTGTGTGTGTGAATGTCATGGCCACATCAAAGAGAAGGCTGTTATAAGCTGTGAATACTCCATGCTTTTACTTCAGTTGTGATATCATTATACATATCAAAATCTGGGGCTTGTATAAGTGGTGAGACTCTTGGGGATGATCTTAAAATTCTGCCTACCACACAAGTTATAGAGTTGGTACCATTAACTAAAATAATGGCAAAAATAGGAAGATAAGTATATTTTCAAATGATATATTTTGGAGATAGACATGACAGAATTCACTGTATGGATGGGACATGAGATGTGAAAGAGAAAGAAAAATCAAAGATAATGACTGGGTAACACTACCACACACATCACTTGGATTATAACATGGTAACTAAAATTAAAAAGTCTAAATTTCTTTATAGCTTATAGATGCAATTAAATTATTTTAAATAGATGAGTGTACATTTTTACACAAAGTGACAGAACACTTGAAACAAATGTTTTATTTGCTATCTGGAAAGCAGGTATGCCATCCTAACATGCATTGTTTTCTTTTTTGTGGTTGAAATACCACCACTCCATTGCATTTTCACGCCCTTATTTTTTGCTGTTATTCTGGATTTCTCTAAATTTTAATATTATTTTAATAGTACCTATCTCTTTTCATGTAATTCATCCATGTAGGATAACTTTACGTTTAGATCAAAGCAGTATATAAATGAATATATATACACATGCCCATATAAACATTTAAGCATGTCTTTGAATGTTTTTATAGTCTGCACTTCCTCGCCTCACCCCTTCATTTTCCAAAATCATTTATTACACTATAATAATTCTGAGCTCCAGTCATATAAAAACACAAACAGCTCACAAGCCCACCATGAAATTTTGGTTCTTGTGCTTTATTACATAATATTTCTTCTGCCTGTAAAATGTTTGCTCCCTTCTCCCATCTTGAAAATTTCTCTTCATTATTCAGGACATAGGTCAATTACTACGTTTTAGCAGAGATTAGCTTGGTCACAACCAACTGGGAGAATTAATTCTGTTCTAACACAGTATTTTATTCAAACCTTTGAACATGGACAAACTTCATTATATTTTATTTCTATTTGCAACAGTTTTTTCCTTAGCTAGATTATAAACCCTTAAAGTCCACGTCACTTCTTATTCTTTATGTTTTCAGAATTTAACACTTAATCTAAATAGTAGCAACTCTTAAATACTACCAGCAATGTAAATGTTTGTGTTTTATCTATGTTCAGAAGAAACATAACAGCCAATATGAATTGGATAATAGATCTTCAATAACATTTATTTTAAATGAATGCATGGAAACAGAAATCATTTTTAGTCTCCTCATTTATGAAAATAACCTGAAAATATCAGGAAAATGTAGTAATTATTGATTTAACACCATAGTTACTCTTAATGCAGCAGATGTCTAAACATATAAGCTAATGATAAACTGAATATTCAGATTTCCCTAAAATTTTTATTTTATTTTTATAGCTGAGTAAAGGAAAGTAAGATTAGTTAAACCAGTACTTCTGAAACCCATTTGAATATTAGAATTATTTAGAGAATTAAAAAATATAATTCTATTAAAATATATTATAATAATATATATACATATCAATCATATATAAATTTTAAAATACGTTAAAAATTCTGTCTCTTGAAAAATTTTTTTAAGTTTGGGTAGGACGCAGGTAGCTATAGTTTTTTTTTTCTTGTCTTGTATAGTTTACATTTATCAATATTATTTTAATTTGACAGGCTATAATTTTATTTATCTGTGGGGTACTATGTGATGTTTTGATGATGTATACAATGTGAAATGATTAAATCAAGCTAATTAAGAAATCTACCACTTAAATTTTTGTGGTAAGACATTTGAAACTTTCTGAGAAATTTTGAAATGTACAATACATTATTATTAACTATCATCACCCTTTCAAAAACATATTCCTCCTGTCTATGGGGTAATGTGGAGTGAATAAGGAGATGTTGGTCATTGGCTCTTCAAAGTTTTGTAGATTAGTACTACTCATCAACTCCCATTCTTTGCAATGTTCATTACCAGGTGTATAAAAGAATACAGAGATTCTGCTAGAAGTTAAATCACAATCAACAACGTCTGTGAAGAGACTGTTTAGTTCAGTGAACAATGTTTTTCATTGCAAACTTTCTCACTGAAATAACATTTCAACTACTTGTAAAGTAGGTGATTGTCATGATGTGATCTATTGATGTAAACTATTATTTTTATTGTTGTTTTGACATAGGCATGAAAAAGAAAAACCAAAAGTTTATCACTAAAACCGGGATAAGCAATCTCTTCCAGGAACAATACTCTTTTCAAAATAATCTTTATTTAGGTCACTTAGTTCATTAATTTTGAAAATTAATATAGTTCTTTTTCTTCCTACAATAGGATTGCTTTATTTGTCTACACTTTTTTCCATTATGTTTCATAATGTTTCCACCATAATAGTTCTCTTACATTCTTTATATCTTTAAAAATATCAATTTGCTGGAGAGGATGTGGAGAAATAGGAACACTTTTACGCTGTTGGGGGGACTGTAAACTAGTTTAACCATTGTGGAAGTCAGTGTGGCGATTCCTCAGGGATCTAGAACTAGAAATACCATTTGACCCAGCCATCCCATTACTGGGTATATACCCAAAGGACTATAAATCATGCTGCTATAAAGACACATGTACACGTATGTTTATTGCAGCACTATTCACAATAGCAAAGACTTGGAACCAACCCAAATGTCCAACAATGATAGACTGGATTAAGAAAATGTGGCACATATACACCATGGAATACTATGCAGCCATAAAAAATGATGAGTTCATGTCCTTTGTAGGGACATGGATGAAATTGGAAATCATCATTCTCAGTAAACTATCGCAAGGACAAAAAACCAAACACCGCATGTTCTCACTCATAGGTGGGAATTTAACAATGAGAACACATGGACACAGGAAGGGGAACATCACACTCTGGGGACTGTTGTGGGGTGGGGGGAGGGGGGAGGGCTAGCATTAGGAGATATACCTAATGCTAAATGACGAGTTAATGGGTGCAGCACACCAGCATGGCACATGTATACGTATGTAACTAACCTGCACATTGTGCACATGTACCCTAAAACTTAAAGTATAATAATAATAAAATAAAATAAAACTGTAAAAAAAATCAATTTGTATATAATTTTACTGAGTAATTCATTCTCTTTCAGAAGGAAATGACATGGCATATTGCAAAACAGAAAAGTTACTGTCATAGTTTATATGACAATTAGACCATAGATATAAAAACCATCGATAATAAAGATACTTTTCTTCACCTTAAATAGATGTTTGTAAAAATTAAAATGGTTATAAAAGGAATATTTATAATTATTTGTACGTAATAAATAAAAAATCACACTTTAGTGTCATGAAGACTTAAATGTAGCCACATTTTTCAATACTGAATAGAGTTTATTGCTTCTCTTTCTCTTATGTCATCCAAATTATTTAATTCATATACATTAAGTAATGTTCTTCTATTCTTTTGTTAACTTTTTTCTTACACTTTTCTAAAAGAATCCCATTTTCTGCTGCCTGAACCTTTTAAATACTAAATATTTAGAAGAGCTACTGTGTCCGGAATTTATTTTTTCCGGTGGGTTCTTGGTCTCACTGACTTCAATGAAGCCACGCACCCTCGCAGTGAGTGTTACAGTTCTTAAAGATGGTGTGTCCGGAGTTTGTTCCTTCAGATGTTCAGACATGTCTGGAGTTTCTTCCTTCTGGCGGGTTCGTAGTCTCGCTGACTTCAGGTGTGAAGCCGCAGACCTTCTCAGTGAGTGTTACAGCTCTTGATGGTGGCGTGTCCAGAGTTGTTTGTTCCTCCTGGTGGGTTTGTGATCTCTCTGACTTTAGGAATGAAGCTGCAGACCCTCGAAGTGAGTGTCACAGCTTATAAAGGCAGTGCAGAACCAAAGAGTGAGCAGCAGCAAGATTTATTGTAAAGAGCGAAAGAACAAAGCTACCACAGCGTGGAAGGCAACCCAAGTGCATTGCGCTTCTGGCTTGGGTGGCCAGCTTTTATTCCCTTATTTGGCCCTGCCCACATCCTGCTGATTGGTCCATTTTACAGAGCTCTGATTGGTCCATTTTACAGAGTGCTGGTTGGTGCATTTACAATCCTTTAGCTAGACACAGAGTGCTGACTGGTGCATTTTTACAGAGTGCTGATTGGTGCACTTTTACAGAGTGCTGATTGGTGCATTTACAATCCTTTAGCTAGACACATAGTGCTGATTTGGTGCATTTACAATCCTCTAGCTAGACAGAAAAGTTCTCCAAGTGTCCACCCAACCCAGACGTCCAGCTGGCTTCACCTCTCATTACAAATTGTTAATTAGTCCAGAAAGCAATTTTTAAAAAATGCATATCCAGCTTTCCTCCCAAAATTGTACCACTATATGCCAAAAAACTAATTAGGAAATAATCAGAACACAGTTTTAATTTTCTTATAGCTTCTTTTGGAAAATGATTGGTAGACATCATTTCCATAAAATTAGCTCTTACTAAGGTTACTGTAGCCATTCATGTTGTCCATCCCTCAAATTTTCCAGCCTTTTTTTCTTTTCATGCTGTTGGGGTTTTTTTCTTTATTTTTTTATCTTATTATTTGTATTAATTTACGGGTTACAAGTGCAATTTTTTTATATGTGTAGATTGCATAGTGGTGAAGTCAGGGCTTTCGAGGTGGTCATAACCTGAATGACATACATTGTACCCATTAAGTGATTTGATCTTCCAGTAACATTCACCATTGTTAAACAGTCCCATTTCCTTCCAACCCTTTAGTCCCTTGCCTATAATGTCTTAACACTGATTTTATTTAATTTCTACATTTTCCGCTACTACTTCTATATCTGTTTTGCCATCTTGTCTTCTTCCATCCAGCAGCTACATGTGGGATTTTTTTGCAATTGGGTCTCATCAATCTTTTCTTATTTAATAATCACGTGCATTCATTTACTCCTGTGGTTTCAAATATCACCTGTATATGGATGGTCACTATATCTGTAGCCTCACAACTGCTCCAAATGCCAAGCCTGGATAGCCAAACATCTATGTAGCGAGTCAAATTACATATGTGAAAGGCTCCTCAAACAGAACTTGTTCAAAAAATAAAATTCTGATTTTCTTCTTTGGCCCACAGAATTACATCCTTTTTCTGATATTTCATCTTTCAGGGAATGTCAGTCCCATTTGTCTAGCAGTAGAAATCTGAAACTTAAGAATCATCTTGACACCATCTGTCTTATATCAAATTAAATATAATCCAAATCCTGTCATTTTTTTTAGGTTTATTACAAATCTTGTGGTTCTCTCAACTCTAATACCAAAGTTCTTATCCTAACCATCATCATCTCTCACTTTACCAAGTGCACTATTGTGCTAGAGGGTTTCTCTACAACCATTTTTAGCCTTTTCCAATCTTCTCGCTACATTTCAAGCAGTAACAAGTTTAAAAGAAAAGCAAGCTTAGTCATGTTTAAAAAGGCTTGGCTTCCATCACTTAAGGAGATAAATCTCCTAAGTTGCTATGTAAGGCTTTGCATAGTCTGTGCATCTATCTCTCCATCTGCAACTTTGACCACTCTATCCTTTCTCTCTATGCTCCAGGCATTTTCTTTCCTTTTTATATAGTATATCTATTTCTATGACACTTTCTCTCCTAAGCCCACTCCTTTAATCTGGTTATATTCAACACTTCTTTCAGATCTCAGCTCAATCAAGGAGAGCCTTTTATGATCTATCTGACTAGACTACTGTCCTCACTACAGGGGAGAGTTAATTTTTGGTTCACTCCTGCAGCCACAGAGTATAGAGGTGCCTGACACGTGGGAGACAGGTGATAAGCATGCGCTGTGTGAGTTATCATCAGCTACGCACCTCTCCTTTGTCACATTTATCTTAATTTTAATTGTAGTTATTTATATGATTCTTTAATAAATACCTCCCTTCCCATGTTAGACAATGAGCGCCATGTAAGTTGGAAATGCTTTGATATTTTCCACATGCACGTGATGCCCCAGCAACTCAGTGACTTGCTCAAAATAAATAATTTACAAATAATATTAAATGAAAAGTATTGGTTAAAAGATGAAAGCATGAAATATTTTCCTAAAATTACTTATGTAGTTTCCTATATTTAGACAAGAAGCTTAAGGATCTAAGTTGACTGGAAGATTTTTATAAGGTTTTCTAATGGTTTAAAGAACGATGTTAAGTTGACTTTTACCTCAGTTGTGCAGACGCATCCATGTCTCAGCGCTCTCAAATGAAAAAGACTTTGGAGGCTTTAAAAAGGTCTAAACTACTGCTTTTATAATTTGATGAAAGAAGAAAGGTAATATTCAATGACTCCTGAGATCGTCTGTATGATCAAGAATTCAGAAGCATGCACTATTTTTACGTATTTACGTATTTTAAGAAACAGGATCTTGTTCTGTTGCCCAGGCCAGAGTGCAGTGATGGGATCACAGCTCACTGTACCCTTAAATTCCTGAGCTCACATGATCCTCCCACTTCAATCTCCTGAGTAGCTGGATCTAGAGGTGTGCACAACCATGCCAGCTATTTTTTTTTGTTTTTTGTAGAGACAGAATATTGCTATATTGTGCAAGCTGGTCTCAAACTCTTGGTCTCAAGTGATCTCCCACCTCAGGCTCCCAAAGTGCTGGGATTACAGGCATGAGTCACTATGCCTGAAGGGAAGCATGTATTAGAATAAGAAATAAAAAAATATAAGCTTAATGAATTTGTGAGAGGGATTTCCCAGCAAATATCAAGGATTTTAATAAGCTCTCTTTTTTCATATGATGCATGGATGGATTTTTTCAGGAAAGAATGAGAAAGGAAAGGGCGGGGCGTGAGAAAGAGAAGGAAGAGATCACTCCCTGAGTATATTTGTGTAGAATTCAAACAAATGATACCTTGAATAAGTAAAAATTAATCCTAACAACCTATTGTATTATCAGGTGAGTGTAGACACTGAGAAATATCTGATTCAATATATGTTAAAGGAAAACTGGCAGAAATCATTAAACAAATAAACCACATAGTTGCACAAGATGCTTAAAAGATGCATGGGCAAAGACAGTAAGTATTTTGGCAAAAATGTCTAGTGACTGATTTTAACCAATCTCCATGCCATTGCCAATCAATTGAAGGTAAAAATGATAAACTAAGGGTAAATAAACTTTTATTTTTCTATATTCAAGTCAGTAATTTCTTCCTATTACTTCAAGAAGAAAATTTAATTGTTTTGCGTTTACATGTAAGATCAGTTTTAATTTCTTTTCTCTCAAACAGAACTGGAAATGATATGTTTACTAATACATTCAGTAGCATGTTCTTAAAAATGCATCTGTCTGCAATAAAATAGATAATGGGTTTCTTCCACCCTCCTGCTCCAAATTAGTGTACTTGCAGTATTGAGAGTTTAAGGCAATATCTTAGTGTCCTTACTTGACTTTGCTGCAAATCATTAGGTGAAAGATTCAAACTTTGCTTTGCAAAATAACACCATTATTTCACATAAATTCAAAGAAATATTACTTAATCATGTATTATTTATTCATTTAATTATTTATTTTCAAATAAATATGTATTAAGCAACTATCTTGTGTTAGAGTTAGTCACTAACTCTAGTGAAGTGAAGCTGAAAATAAGAGTACCAAAACAAGTGGTGTTAAAGGTATGATGAACTGATCTTTGGGTTAGAAGTGGTTATCGAATGTTGGAGACAAGTGGGACTTAAAGATTTTTAAGTTGAGCATCTGCATGGGCAGGCAATGTGTCTAACAGTATGGAGAGTATAGATGAATAATGATGAGACTGGACATGGCATAAATTCTAAGGCCATCTAGGACAAGATGCTCAGGATGCCATAGGTTGCACACATCTGGAAACCACAGATACTGACTTATGAGACAGCAAGAGGTATTTAAGAAATCTATGTAGGATAGTGTTTAAAGAAAATGAGATCAAGTACTGCTACAAAAATATCAACTAAGCCAAAGACTTAAAATAATCACTGGGTTTAACAATTTTGAGGTAATGACTTTTGCCAGTAACTTTGACCCAATGATGCACATTTTTTGAGTCATAAAGTGTGGAGGCAATGAGGTGATGTAAGAGTGAGATAATTATGGATACAACACATTTGGTCAGATTTCCCAAAGTCATTGACCATTTGAAGGGGCTAAGATATGCAAGTAGGGAAAAATGAGATATGCAAACCAATGACGGAAGTCTAAAATACAATAGGAGTAAAACAATTGAAAATATAGGTAGAAGGAGGAAAAGGAAGCATTTTATTCTCTAGTGTAAGCAAAGTTCCAGCAGTTCATAAGGGGTGTGTGTGTGTGTGTGTGTGTGTGTGTGTGTGTGTGTGTGTGTGTCTTTGGAAATGAATGGAATAAAACAGTGCTCTTAGCTAACACAGTTTCCACTGAGGATAAATATGAACTGAACATTCAGTTAGGCAATTCTGTTCCTTTGAGTATATATTTTTAGCTAATTCTTCATATTACTGTTCGTACAGTGTAGCATACTCATTATATTCACAGATTCTGGAACCTGGCTTGTCTTAACTATTTATCCGCTGTGTGAATGTCAGGAGGATATTTAACCTCTCTGAGAGGCTGTTTTCTTATCTGAGAAACAGCTATAGTTGCAGTACATTTTCTGTAATGTTTTTAGAGATAAATTGAGATAGTTTAAGTGTTTGGCACACAGCAAATATTAATAATTTAAAAATTAGTGTTTTAAACTCTATTAAACCTACTTGTGGGTTTTGTTGTTTTTTATTTGGTCACTATTTTCTCAAGAGCAGTTTTTGGGTGTCTGAGGTAACATCTAAACACTTGATTTTTTTTGAAAATTCTTTAAATAATTTGGATGCATATGCAAGGCTGTAAATGACTATACCAGTTATACTCATCCTGGTTGGATATGTGGCTAGTTGGTTAGTTTAGCACAGGTCCTCTCCCTTGCCTTGTGTGTTAAGGAACAATGGGCAGGCAGCCCCTGTCTATCTACCAGTCGTAACGTGCCAAGCACATATGAGATGTTTTTCAGACTGTATCTCACTTAATTCTAAGAACAAATCTATCATAAATTCTGTTATTTCTATTTTACACGCGAGGAAGCTAAGGCTTTGAGAAATGAAATAATTTCATAAGCTTAAATTTTACCTTAGCATCTTATTAGGATACTAATTTAAGTGAGACTAAATTATTTCATAAGTAACAGATAAATTTCAAGTTGCCACAACTTCCATTGCAATATGCTGCCTCCTTTAACAATTCTTTTAGTTTTATGTGAATGGATAAGAGGAAAATAAGAAAAGAATATTGCAAGACTTCTCTGGCAATTCATATTTTACTTGGCATGAGGATAAAGAGACAACTGACTTGCGAGATTTGTCAAAGGTAGGCAAGGTCTTCTTAATGAGGTGTCAATCTTTCTAAAGGACTATAACACACTAATATGTAAAGGTGTTTTGCCACTATGATATGCCTTTGACGAAATTATGACATTTATTATGGAGAAACAATGCTCTCTGGTGTCTACCGTCAAGGGTTTCCTTCAGTTGTTTAATTTGGAACTGCCACATCACAAGCAAGTTATACAAACAACTCTTTGTGTGGAGGTCATTATATTGTCTCAGATATGCTAGGATTTAAGTAGACTGGCAGGACAATTCACAGAGACAAATTCACAAAATGTAGTCTTTTTCTTTCTTAAGGTATTCTGAAAAATTATCATGAAATTATGCAATCAAAAGCCAACTTACTTTAAACTCCAAAAAAGTGTCATCCTTGCAGTTACCTACATGGAACATGTTTCAGCTAACTTAAGCCCCCTCATAAACATTCTGTAACTAAATAAATATAATGACTTTTATAGGCACAATTTACACTCAGTGTCCTCATTATTCCTGACATTCTAACAAATTTAGTTGTTTTAATGTAGTAAGTATAAGCAGTATTTAGAAGCATTTAGAAGTATTAAACTCACATAATACATTTATCAAAAGTATAAAGCGATGCTTTAAGGTGCTAAGATTAGCAACTTAAAAACAACATGCCAACCTAAACATTCAGTAGGCATTGCCTTTCAAAGTAGTTACTTTTAGAAAATGCATTATTTTTATTATCTTGCAAACATTTATTTAGTACTTAACATGGGTAAAGCTACATATTGTGGCACTTATCCAAGTATTTCCTTGCATTTGTATTATCTGGATTTTGGCTTTAATCCCCACTAAGTTTCACACTTTTCATAGAAAGAAGTGAAGGAATAATAACTGGAAGTTTTTAAATATTCATATTGATGTATAATATTGCCATATATAAATAATCCAGAATTAAACATATATTTCATAATCATACAGGAAATTAAGAAATAGATGATCAGGTTTTATATTCTTGTAATGTCCAAGAAAAATAAATTAAACCTACATATCATGATTTCTCTGGCAATTCATATTTTACTTGGCACAAGGAGCTAAGTACATCCTATATCAAATGCCATGGATCAATGTTTCCCAAAATTTAAATACGTTCTACTCACAATGTGTATAAAAGATGATCTATGGGACCAAAACACAGTGAACTACACAAAGAAAAAGTTCCCCCCAATTACATTATTTTCTAGTTTATAAATTACTGTAATCAACAAATTGAGGATCTGCTGACTGTTGGGCATTAGTGTAGGTTCTGAGTCTGCATCTTGAAGAAAAATGAAGTCTTTTAGCATATTTTGGGAAGGGGCAAAAATGAACAAGGAAACAATAAATACTCTAGTAAGGGCTATGAAAAAGGAGAGAGACAACCTCAGGCTAAGAACATTTCGTGGGCACCAGCATCTGAAGTTAAATGTGATAACATTTGTTTCCACAAGTAACTTATAATTTATAGCATAATATATTGTTTTTCTATTTATGGTAGTAATTTATAGTTTCCTTTTAAAAATATTGTATTAAATTTCATATTACTTTAAAATAAAATATTAAATTACATATAAGTGGTGAGTGAATGTAGCAAAACTGAGGAGATGACATGTTCTCTACTGTGAAAATGAATTAAATATCAGCCATTAATACTATTTCTTTTCGAGGAAAAAGAGGTAATGATGAAAAAACAATCTAATATCATGTGAACATAAAGAGAAGAGAAAAATAATCCAAGGAAAGAATACACTTTATTAAACATATCTGGCATTTGTTTCGGCCATTCAATATTTGGATCTATTTCTTATGACATGTTTGAGTTTATTTGGAGGAAGGTAACTCTCCCTCTTCCTTGAAGATGCTCAGACTTTCCTGCACTCACATTCTCAGACTCCCTTACAGCTTGGATGCAGGCTTTGCCAATGAGATATACTCATGGTATGTGTATTAGTCCATTTTCATGCTGCTAATAAAGACATATCTGAGACTGGGTAATTTATAAGGAAAAAGAGGTTTAATAGACTCACTGTTCAACGTGGCTGGGGAGGCCTCATAATCATGGTGGAAGGCAAAAGGCACATATTACATGGCAGCAGGCAAGAGAGAAAATGAGAGCCAAATGAAAGGGGTTCCCCCTTATAAAACCACCCGATCTCATAGGACTTATTCACTACCAAGAGAACAGTATGGGACAAATTGCCCCCATGATTCAGATATCTCCCACCAGGTCCCACCCACAACACATGGAAATTACGGGAACTACAATTCAAGATGAGATTTGGGTGGAACACAGCCAAACCATATCAATCGGTAAAAGTCACACACACACAAAATGTAGAGTTGATGGAGAATCGTCTCTGGCAGAAGTCAGCATTGCTGCAATATGCAGTGGGATTCACGCACAGGGCCAGAGGTGTGGATATGTGAAAATGCAGTTCTACTGCTGGTGATAGATCTCTGGCATAATTTTAGATCTTGTTTCTGGCTCAGCAGTACCCAAGCCTCAAGAAAATTAGTAATTTCATATAATTTTGATAAATTCCTTTGTGTTTAAGGCAACCACAATAGTTTCTTTCATTTACAACTAAAAACTTGAACTCATGCCAACAAATAAGACGGGAAGGAGTATACATTTATTACCCCATGGTCACCAGCCCTTGGCACAAAAATATCAATAAATATTGAATGATGAAAAAATATAAAAAGTAAATTAGTCAACCTCTATGGAAAACAATATAGAGATTTATCAAAAACCTGCAAGTAGATCTACCATTTGATCCAGAAATGCAACTACTGTGCACCTACCGAAAAGGAAAAGAAGTCATTATATCAAAAAGCCATCTGCACACATATCTTTATCACAGCACAATTGACAATTGCAAATATTTGTAATCAACCTCAGTGTCCATCAACTCATGGGTGAATAAAGAAGATGATGTGATATATCTATATATCTCTATCTCTATCTATACACCATGAAGTACTACTTGGCCATAAAAAAGAATGAAATAAAGTATTTTGCAGCAACTTGGATGGAACTGGAGGCCATTATTCTAACGGAAGCCATTCAGAAATGGAAAACCAAATAATGCATGTTCTCATTTACAAGTGGGAGCTAAGCTATGTGTACACAAAGGTATACGGAGTGCTATGATAAACATTGTAGACTCAGAAAGAGGCAAGGTCGCAGAGGGGCTAGGAATAAAAAAAAATCCCTATTGGGTACACTGTCCGTTATTCGGATGACAGGTGCACTAAAAGCCCAGACTTCACTACTCTGCAGTTAATCCATGTAACCAAAAACCACTTGTACCATTAGCTATTGGAATAAAAATAAAAGGGTTTTTCTTAAAAGAAAATAACATAGTTTTCCTCTCTTTCAAAGTAGCAGAAATATACCCCCCCACAAAAAAAAAGTAGAGTTGATGGAGAATCGTCTCTGGCAGCAGTGAGCATTGCTGCAATACGCAGTGGGATCCACGCACAGGGCCAGAGGTGTGAATGATGATGCTTTTACTTTTCATTTTATTTCTCTATTTTCTTTAACTTGGATTCAGAAAGATTAACTTTTGTACAGCACTGATAAAGTGGTCTGCTCCAAAACTCTTTAGTAGCAACACTGATTGACAAAATAAATCTGACATGCATGTCAGCTATTTTAAAGTAGAAATATGTTAGAAATTGTCATGGCACTTGAATTGCCATGAAATTCCAAATGATCACATTAAGTGATAATTTGGGATCCATATATAAAAAGCTGTAAAATCAGTAAAGAAAATCATGTTTATCATAAAAATTTTAGTTTAATAAAGACAACACTTAAACTAAGGGCACTGGAACAGTAAAAATCTTTCCCATTTCTCACTGTGTAAAGAGATTACTTTTATCCTGCAATGAGATTTGCAGAGTACTGTGCCACAAGAAAATAAAGGATTTGAGTGATATATTAAGAAATAAGGAGAAAGGCAATATATTTGAAATTCACACAAGAACAGAAACTGGAAAATCACACATATACCCTTAATATCTACTGTAAGTACATATACTGATCATAAGTTTTGTAGATATGCATATATTTCATTCAAAATACTCATGCCAATAACAGAGAGTATCTATCTGAGGCTTTCAAATCCCCAAGAAATTATGAAGAGTTTTCTCACCATGCTGTGATCTTTTCTAGCAGAAGCTCCTTCACTTTCATACCCCATATATCTCAGGGTCTGAATGTCGTCAGTGTCTTCCCTGGTTTTGGTCCTTAAAGCCAATTGCAAACGTATCTTTACCTTCCTCCTTCAAACACCCAGCTACATTGAAACACAGGCCATCGGCCTGTCCCAGTGGCAATTTAAGCCTGTGAGTATCAAGAATCTCCTGGTGATCAGATCTCCTGGTCACCACCCTTCTTTTATGCATGGGTTTGACCACTGACTCACTCTCTCCATGATGTGATTTCCATAGTCATTATTGAATTTGATATTCAATATCCAAATTCTCATTTCATTGGTATTCTTACTCCTAACAGAAACATACTTTTCTCAGCCACAGTTCTGCCAATCACAATCTTAACAGCGAGTTTGCTCCTCACTTTCTCATCCCCTCTCACCCTCTGATTCTGGCTCTCTCTCTCTCTCCACCAACCTCATTCCTTAATCTGCCCCTCTCTCTTATGTCATCATATGTATTTGTCAAAACCATATCCCAGTTAACTATTTGCTTCTCATCTACTCCTTTTCTACAACATTGTATCTGAATATATTGTTTAAAAAAAACACAACCATGCCGAACATGCTGAATATTCTGTTTAAGTGTTTAAATTCATCAAAACAGATCTGATGTGGGCGATTAATAGTATTGTTACTATGATGCCATGATTAATAACATAATGATATTATAACACTTATCTACTTCATGCATTCTTTTGATTTTGGAGATTACAATTTCATACAATTTCTTCTCTCCAAACTTTCTCCACATCCTCTCCCATGCTCACTGTTAACAGATGATCTTGCGTCCTACTACACTGAAAAAAAATTGGACAATTAAGAGAATTAAGAGGAAGATATCCATAACTCCCCAACCTCTATATCACCCAGCAACCAGCTCTTGGTCCAATATGCTCTTCATTTCATCCTGATAATACAGATGAGCTGTTCTTGCATCTGAAATTAATACAAGAATTTGTGAAATGTCTCCCAATCCATTTATTTCATTGTTTCCAGGCTCATGATCTAGGAATTTCCAAGCCCTTTCTTTCCAGCAGCATAATTTTTCCCAAGCTACTATTTATTACCATACAAGTATGATAGGTCTATTTTTAACTTTTTGTTGTTCTCAAAATACAAGCTGTCTCTTGATTCTACTTCCTATTGTGGATTTTTTTCTTAAAGAGTTTGAGCCTCCTCCTCTTCCTTCTCCTCCTCCTCCTTCTTGTTTATTTAATCCGTTCTAGTTTGTTTCCCAAACTCCTCAAGACTGTTTTTCTTCAAGATCACTTGTACAAAATTGAATATTCAATGCATAATTCCCACTTTACTCTGTACTCCTGGAAATATATGTCTCAATGAATTTATAGGATTATATCATGTATCAATCAAGGTTCAACCAGATAAGTAGAATAAGGACAATAACCAAGTAATACTTCTGCCTTGCATGACAACTATTTTACTTACAACTAAAAATATACTAACCTTCTCCTGAGAGGAGGATGTAATTTCCTCAGATAATATTCTCTCTTCTCTCTTGGTATCCTGTAATGTAAATATTGTGATATAAAGTTAATTATTATCAATGTATCTTGTGTTAGATGATAAGGGTATAAAAGAATAGAATAAAAATATCTAGCCAATATATACATAAGCATATTTATAAAAAAGTGAGAAATAAATAATTATACCTATTTGGGTCTTTATTTCTGCAAGTGGTTATGTGGTCATAGATGGTATTTAAACCCATTTCTTACATGATCAATTCTAGATCCTCTTTGTCCTCAGCAAGCATCTCAGCTAGTGATGGTCCTTCACCTGATGGGTGACTCAAATGCTCATTTCTGAATGAACTGCACCATTAACAGTCCTGCCTAAATTGGTTTTTGTAATTTTCTATGGACTATAATCACAGACTATTATAGTGCTAAGAGATGGCCTAAGGTACCTGTATTCCATACGTATTGTTCTTCACCTCCAATCTGCAGTAGCAACTCAATTTCCCACTTGGTCATCAGGATCAATGACTCCAGCCAGTTCAGTAATCCTGCACTTTGCCTGTTCATTCAGAGACATGAGGAATCCAAAGCTGCTGGGTGGTTGGCCTCAACATCCAGTTCAATGCAATCATTGTTGCTTTTCCTGATGGAGGCATTTCTCCCTTTGGAATTAAGACATCTAGACTAACAGAGCCTAAGGTCATTGGGATGGGAAGGAAAAACCTTGTTAGTGAATCACTAGGGGTAATTGTTTGTGGAACCAATCCACTTCCATTTGCACTCCTTGTTTCCTGGACCTGTGAATCCTGGCTATGGGAGAAACAGTAGTATATATTGGGTGCTAATTTAGAGCATTCTAGAGAATTTCCTGGAGAAATTACCCCAGAACCATCTCTAAACCAGGTCCATGTCTTTCCTTCTTCTGTCAACTGGTTATAGAGAACTCCGGATGAGACCATAGATCCAGGCTGGGAGTGAGAAGGTCATGTAGCACAACTTGCCTTCAGGGCCTGGCTTAAGCCCGGTCTCCTGTCTACTGCTTCCTCTGACAATGGAGTGCTGCTGTGCATGCCCAGTGTTATGGCTTGGGAGGAGCCACAGCCAGTAACATGTCATATCTCAAAAGCAGAGTTGTTATCCAGAGAAGAAGGCAGGGTTTTGCTACAAAATCCTTAGAGTCTGCGCTACAATTCGCTGATAGAGCCTCCAAAGGATGCAAACAGCACATCTCTCATTGACACTTCAACCAAAATTGGATCTACTGGATCACATGACCCAAGTAGCAGGGAATGTTGCACAACAGCCCTGACTTGTTTCAAAATACTCTGTTGTTCTGGGTCTACCTCAAAGCTATCAGCTTGTGGGGTCACTGGCTAACTAAACCAGGGTAGCATACAAAAATGAGAAATGTGTTGCCTCCATAATCCAAAGGTGCTGTGCTTCTTTTGGTAGTAAGAAGGAGTAGATGCAACAATTTATTTTAACTTTAGAAGGGATGTCAACATACCTCGTATCACTGGACCCCTGGAAATTTCACAGAGATAAAGGGTGCCTGAATTTTTTGAGTTTTATTTATTTTCTCTGACACATCTAGAATAATTGCTATCTGTCTCAAACTAGGTCCAATCAGCACGATATCATCAACGTAATTGAGCAGCATGGCATCTTCTGGAGGTGAAGATAAATCAAGATCCCATGGATTAAATGGTGACAAAGGTCTAGAGAGCTGATATAACCCTGAACTAGGTTAGCAAAAGATTTCAGCTGGCCTTGTCATCTGAAAACAAAACTACTTCTCGTGGTCTTTAGTAAAAGGTCTAGAGAGGAAAAAAAAAAAAAAAAAAGCATTTTCCAAATCAATAGCTGCATGCTGGTTACCAGGGGATGTATTAATCTGCTCAGGAAACAAAAGCACATCTGGAACTTGAGCTGCAATTGGAGACACCACCTGATTAAGTTTATAATAGTCTGCTGTTATTCTCCAGCATTTATCTGTTTCTCTGTACAGACCAATTAGACGAGTTGAATGAGGATGTGTTGAAAATCACTACCCCTGAATCCTTCAATTGCTTAATGGTGGCAGTAATCTTTTCAATCCCTGCAGGAATATGGCATTGCTTTTAATTTACCATTTTTTCAGGTAAAAGAGTTTCATTAGCTTCCATTGGCCTCCTTACCATAGTAAGCTCTTAAGCCATAGGTCATGGAAACAGTATGGGGACTCTGCCTACTGCTTGTTTGTGTACTTCAATTATTCATTCTGAAACCTGAGAAATAATCACAGGATGAGTTTGGAAGCCACCTAGACCCATCGTGACACTGATCTGAGCTAAAACTCCATTGAACGACAGATCCACAGAAGTCTCTACTGTGATCGGTGGACAATCATGATGTTTCGGGTCTCCAGGAATTACTATGCCAGTGTTCACACAAAATGTAGAAGTGAGTAAATTTGTTGTTTAAATTTAAGCTGGTTAACTTTTATTGAAATTATTTGAAATTAAAAAATATTCCCATTTAAATAAAATTCCTGACCCAGATAGCCTCAACAGTATATTCTTCCCAATCTTTAAGGAAGAAATAAAATCAATCTTATATAAACTCTTTTGCAGAGCAGATATAAATGCATACTTCCCAACGTTTTTTATGAGGGAAGGTTATGTATGACATGAAAACTTGAAAAGAATAAGAAAAAATTATACAGTAGTTACTTTCATAAACATAAAGGCAACATATCACTCCAAATAGTAGAAAATTAATTTCAGCAATGCATAAGATTGATAATATATCATGATCATGTAGAAGTTTTATCACGTTATGCAAGACCTGTTAAATATCCATAAATTAATTAGTATAACTATTTGTTTTAATGGGATGTATACTGTGGTGAGTCACCTAAATTTATCCATGCCCGGAACGGAAGGATTCATTTAGCCAGTTGCTGGGAGTGTTCATGAACGACAGATCTTAAATTATGGCAGGCAATTGAAACTGGTTAGAGAGCTACTCTATCTATGTTCCCTTTGGGGAGCATTCTAAATCCTATGTCACTTTTGCCTGAATTCAGGAAAATACTGTAAGGCCACCACAGCTCCACAGCTTCCCATGAGATGTCTAAAACCTTTGTTTTGACTATATTATTGCATGCTCAACTTCTCCCACTGCCCAATCCTATTGTCTTTACTTCCCCACAAGTTTTGATCCTGAGACATTCCCTTACTAGTACTCCACATGCAAATCTTTATCTCAAAATATATATCCTAAGGGATCTGTCCTATGACATTACATTAACAAATACAAGGGGAAACACCATATGTTATTCTCAACAGATCCTAAAGTGCAATCGAAACAAAGTCAACAAACATTCTTTGATATATTCTCCCAGGAAACAAGTAATTGAAGAGTACGTCTAAAGTTAAGTGTGTGTAGAGAAAACCAAGGGAAAATAATATAAGAAATAATTTTAAAAGCTTTACATCTGAAATCTAAATATAGTTGCCCATTAATACAAATTCTATTCAACAATATACTACAGCAGAGGTTGGCAAACTTTTTTCATAAAAGGACAAAAAGAAAACATTTAGGCATTCCCTGTCAGAGTCATTGTCACAGCTGTTCAACTTTGACATTGTAGAATGAAACCAGGGACAATAAAATAATGAAGAGTTCTATGTTCTAATAAAACTTTATTTACAAAAAGAGATGTTGGGCTGTGTTTGACCTGTAGGAGTTTGTCAACTCCTGTTCTAGAATTTATAGTGAATACAATAAAATAAGAGAAATAATTAAAATAGAAAGATTAAAGAAGTTATGATTGTAAATTAATGATAGTATACTTAGAAAATTCTAAGGAATCTACCTATCATATATTAGATTTAATAAGTATAGTTATTAAAATGTCAAAATACAAAATTAAGTGTATTTCTATGTCCAATACTCATAGAATAACTCATATCAGATAGACCCTTTCACTGGAAACACATAAACTCTAGAAAGAAAAAATAATAGCCACAACAAAAATAGTTGAAGACAATTTATAGCAATTAAAAACAGGCAGAAATTAGATATTTTAGGGAAGGTAAAGGCACTGAATGATTTTCCTATACCCATAGCTTTTTGCCACAAGCAGATTTCAGTCAGTTATAGTGCAGGCAATTAATATTTACATAGAATATCACAGTTTTCCTGTCCTTAAAAAGCAGAAGTTAGAGTTAGGGGCTACCAGAGTAAGTAAAAGAAATGTGAATTCCAGAATGTGAAAACCGCACAAAGGAAATTAAACATTCTTTCCAAATATCAAGCTGCCCCTAGAACTACACAGGCCCAAACCAGGCTCCAATCAACACGGCTAAAAAGTAAAAAACAGATTCTGGATATTAGCCCTTTGTCAGATGAGTAGATTGCAAAAATTTTCTCCCATTCTGTAGGTTGCCTCTTCACTCTGATGGTAGTTTCTTTTGCTGTGCAGAAGTTCTTTAGTTTAATTAGATCCCATTTGTCAATTTTGGTTTTTGTTGCCATTGCTTTTGGGTATGTTTATTGCAGCACTATTCACAATAGCAAAGACTTGGAACCAACCTAAATGTCCAATAATGATAGACTGGATTAAGAAAATGTGGCACATATACACCATGGAATACTATGCAGCCATAAAAAATGATGAGTTCATGTCCTTTGTAGGGATGTGGATGAAGCTGGAAACCATCATTCTCCGCAAACTATCACAAGGACAAAAAAACCAAACACCGCATGTTCTCACTCATAGGTGGGAATTGAACAATGAGAACACATGGACACAGGAAGGGGAACATCACACACCGGGGCCTGTTGTGGGGTGGGGGGAGGGGGGAGGGATAGCATTAGGAGGTATACCTAATGCTAAATGACGAGTTAATGGGTGCAGCACACCAACATGGCACGTGTATACATATGTAACTAACCTGCACGTTGTGCACATGTACCCTAAAACTTAAAGTATAATAAAAAAAAGAAAAAAAAAGAGTAAAAAACAGAAAATATATTTAATCTACTGTCCATCAGATAGGAGATAATCTTTGTAGTCTGAACTAAACTAAACTGCTAAAAAACAAAGAAACAATCAAATTAATCTTCAACATTCTTCAGATAAATAAAGCGAGCGAGTGCCTCTGAAAAAATATTATTCACAATGCTTCAAAGACCAAGATAAACTCCCAAATTATAAAACAGGAAATATAACGCAGATCTTTACCTGAGAAAAATGATAGTCAGTGTAAACAGACACCACAATTGCCCAAATATTGGGATTAGTGGGTAAGTGTTATAAAGCAACATTTTTAACTATACTCAAGAATGTGAAATTACATATGTTCATAATAAATGAAAAAATAGAGAATCTCAGAAACATCATACAAAATAATAGAAAATCTATAAAAACATATTTATCCAGTTAACTTGAAAATTAAGAAATAGAAATTACCTAAAATGAAGAAAAGTAAGAAACAACATATAGGAAGAAAGTGAATGAGACCTGTGTAGGCTGTGAGATAATATTCCAAGTTCCAAAAAAAATGTGTAATTAGAGGCTCAGAAGGGGAGAGAAATGAAAGATAAGGTAACAAAACATTCGGATAAATAATGGCAAATAATTCCCCAATTTTGCTGAAAGACATACGTTTACAAATTCAAGAAGCTAATCAAAACGCAAGAAGGATAAATATTTTTAAAACAAACACATTATTAGACACAGTATAATTAGAATGTTACAACACAACAACAAAGGGAAATCTTAAAAGCAACTAGAGAAAAATGTCATTACATACAGAGGAGTAACAAGAATGGCTGCTGACTTCTCCTCTGAAGGGATGAACAGCAGCAGACAGAGAAACAACGTTGTCAAAGTGAAAAAAGGGGAAAAATGTCTTTTTTTTTTTTACTTTTTTTTTTTTTTTTGAGAGAGAGTCTCACTCTGTCGCCCAGGCTGGAGTGCAGTGGCGTGATCTCGGCTCACTGCAAGCTCCGCCTCCTGGGTTCACGCCATTCTCCTGCCTCAGCCTCCCGAGTAGCTGGGACTACAGGCGCCCACCACCTCGCCCAGCTAATTTTTTGTATTTTTAGTAGAGACGGGGTTTCACCGTGTTAGCCAGGATGGTCTTGATCTCCTGACCTTGTGATCCGCCCGCCTTGGCCTCTCAAAGTACTAGGATTACAGGCGTGAGCCACCGCGCCCGGCCTTTTTTTTTTAGTTTTTTTTACTTTTTTTTTTTTTTTTTTTTTTTTTTTTGAGACAGAGTCTCACTCTGTCACCCAGGCTGGAGTGCAGTGGCATGATCTTGGCTTACTGCAGAAAAAAGGGGAAAAATGTCAACTCAGATTTCTATATGAAAGAAAAATATAATTTAAGAATGATGGCAAAGTAAACTCATTTTGAGATAAGTAAAAGCAAACAATTTGTGAGCAGAGTCCCTGCAATTCAAGAGACAACAAAGAGAGATCTTCAAGCTGATGGGAAAGACATTACTAGATGGTATCTAGTAATAGGAGATAGAGAGTTGGGTTTTCACAAAGGAATAGGTATGAGTGTTTATAGCTGTTCTAAAGATATAATCTTTAATAGTCATTTAAATGTTGAAAACAAAAATTATAAGACTTTTATGAATTTATATCTTATTTAGCTTATATAAAATATTTATTATACATAAATATAGAGAGGCTATAAACAGTATAAACAATAGGGCAGGGCAATTGTAAGGTAATTATTGCAAGGTAATTACACTTAGTGTAGTGTCACAATATTAAATTATACAGACTGAAAAGGATTTAAGGATGAATATCTTAGTAATTACAGTGACCAAGACAAAATATAATGCAAAGAGGTTTAACTAATATGTCAATATGCCCTGAAACAATGACTATTATAACAAAACAGTTATGGTAAATAAACCTCCAAAAAAAAGGAGATCTAAAGAAATCGTAGGCTGAACGTGGTGGCTCACGCCTGTAATCCCAGCACTTTGGGAGGCCAAGGCGGGTGGATCAGGAGTTCAGGAGATTGAGACCATCCTGGCTAACATGGTGAAATCCCATCTCTACTAAATATACAAAAAAATTAGCCGGGCGTGGTGGCGGGCACCTGTAGTCGCAGCTACCTGGGAGGCTGAGGCAGGAGAATGGCGTGAACCTGGGAGACGGAGCTTGCGGTGAGCCGAGATCGCGCCACTACACTCCAGCCTGGGTGCAAGAGCTAGACTCCGTCTCAAAACAAAACAAAAACAGAAACAAGAAGAAATCATAAAAATAATCAATTAATCCAAAACAGGAAGAAAAAGAGAGATATGATGTATATTACAGTTTTATCTCCAAAAATTTAATTTTAAGTTTTTTAATATAATTTCAGTGTATCTAACTTTTAAACTTTTTGAATATATGAAATATAATTGCAATAACTTTTAATGTCCATCTGCTAATTCAAATATGTGTGTCAGTTCTTGGTTGGTTTTCACTGATTTATTTTTTATCAGCCTTTTCGTCAGGGGTCATATTTTCTTGCTTCTTTGCATCCCTGGAAAGTCTTTTTACTGGATGCCAAACCTTTGAATTTACTCCGTTGAGTGCTGGATAATTTTGTGTTCCCATAAGAATTATTGAGTTTTATTATAGGATGCTGTTAAATTACTTTAACGTGGTTTGACCCTTTTAGAATTTGTTAGGTGGGACCTGAGCAGTGTTCAGTGTGCAGTTATTCTCCACTACGGAGGCAAGACCTTTCTGTGTACTTTCCCAATGCTCCATGAATCTTAAGGTTTTCCAGTATGACTTCTGGGAATAGACATTAGTCCTGGCCCTTTTAGAGCACCGTATATTGCTAACATTTGGGAAGTTTCCTTCTTCAATCTCTTTTGTTTCCTGACACACGCTCTGATTAGTACCCATTGAAACCCTGGGGGAGATCCTTTGCAGATCTGGGAGTTCTCACTCTGCAGCTGGTTTCTCTCTGATGCGCTGTCCTGCACACTAAGTTACTTTGCTCTCCCCAAAGTCTCAGCTCTGTGTCAACTCAGGGAGGCTGCTGGCGTCCATTCTTACTCCGTACACTGTGACCAGGAATCTCTCTCAATGTAAAAAACTGGTGTAATCGTGGGACTCACTTTTATTTATCGTAACTTAGGGGTTACTTTCTTCTACTTTTTGAGGTTCAGCGTTGTTTTCATTTATCCTATTTTGGCTGTTGACGTTGAGTGGATATATCTGGTCCCTATCACTCCATCTTGGTTGTAAGCAGTTGTAAATGATTTATTTTCTCAGCTTTTAACATAATATATTCCTTTTAACATAACATGCTATTTACTAATTTATATTAGTACTGTATTTATTATGAGGGCTGTATTTCCTACCTTCATAGTGAAAGCTCTATTAGGGCAATGGTTTTTTCTCTTTTGTTTAGCAGTGTATCCAGTGACGAGAATAGTGCCAGACAAATAGCAGAAAGTAAATAAACACTTGTATTCTTTACCTCACGCTCCTCAATGACAGCAAACATTACGAAACCTGATGTCGCCACCACTTCTCATTCTTACAGATTCAACTTCCATATTCTTACTCCATTTCTCCAACCTCACAGTAACATCCCTGCCAGATGTGCTACTTCCTCCTCACTTTCTGTCACCCTCCACTTCCTTCTCCACGACTCAGCCTCCAGTTCATATTCATATATTATAATCAGTCTTTTATTGTCCCTAGACTTTCTCATCCCCATTTTTCTTGTTGCATTTGGCTAGACAAAACTGCAATTCTACTAAAACTAAATATCAATCTATTCCATTGTAATACCGAAATCATTCAATTTTGCTAAAGAAAATGGCAAGACCTGTTTGACCAATCTCATCATACTAAACAAATGACTGTATATCTTAAGTAGAGTCTATACACTCTCAATATAATCCTTCTTTTACATTTTTGCCCCACATAAAACAAATAATGTGTAACTCTACCCCTCTTCCCTTCTCAAGACCCTATCCCAAGTCTCACCTGATAATTTTCTCCCAAGCCTTTATTTAACATTAGGTTAAGTCAGAAGAGAAATTTCTGCCACTAAAGCAACCAGCCTGTCTGCATCTCTTGCCACATAATCTGCCTTGCTTCACAACAATACAATAGAAGAGGTATCTTTGCTCCTATCTAAGTCTTCCCCACCATTTGTGGTTTGGGTTTTGTCTGTTTTTACTCATCAGGCAACCTTCACCATACATTTACCCCTCATAGTCCTTTCACCATCAGGTTACTTCTTGCTCATAGATCATTGCCCTTAGCATTCAAGCATGTCATAGAAGTTCACATTTTTAAATTCAATTGAATACAATACAAAAGGAAATAGTTCCCTTTCATCACTCTCCATCTCCCTCCAAATACCATTATTCATCTCTCCTCAAAATAACCCCCAGAATTGTGCACACTCATTGGTTCTGCTTTGTAAAATTCCCACTCTTTTCCTCACCTCACTCTATTCCTGCTTTTGTTCCCACCATCCAATTAGATTGTCTAGTACTGAAGTTTCCAATTACCTACATACTGCCAGCCACACTAATTAGTCATCTCATTTCACCCTACTTGACCATGCTTTGACATAATTAATACCCTCTCCTTCTCAAAACACTTTTATTTTCTTCTAAAAGAATCAGATTTTTTTCTCTTCTGATTTGTCTCTTAGTCAGTTTTTATTCTCAGTATCCATTACTAACCTTTTCTTTGTTTTTACCACTAATGAAATCAGTGAGCCAGGACTCTGTTCTAGGACCTGCTCTCCTCTGTCAATCTTCTCTCCAGAGGATCTCAGGCAACACCATTCTTTTAATATCTAGTGTTTGTTGAAAATAACACCAGGATATCAGATGGTTCATAAAATTTGTATTTATTTCAAATGATGGAAGAACAAAGAAAGCAATGATAATGATAACATTAACATTTTTATATATGAATTTCCACAACATTAATTTCTGGGGAAAATATTGACCTTTAGAAATTTTCATAAAACAATATACTAAGAGTCTAACAAATTAACCAAAATGACTTTTCTTATATAAACATTTTTATACGTATAAGAATATGATATGCTTATTGTAGAATTCATAGAAAATACAAACTCTGTATCAGAATATAAACAACCCATAATCTTAATATTGTAAGATAAACGCTATTAATTTCCGTTTTGCATATAGTTTTATAGTGTTACTTGCTTCTTTTACTTATATAATATAAACATTTCTGATATGAATGAAATGCTTCATCAATATGTTTGTCATTTTCTTTAACAGTCCATTCAAAATATGTATTGTAAACTGGTGTTGGTGGCTTACACTTGTAATCTCCACACTTTGAAAGGCCGAGTTGGGAGGATCACTTGAGGCTAGGAGTTCAAAACCAGCCTGGTCTATATAATGAGACCCTGTCTCTACAAAAACAATAAAAAATAAAACATTAGCCAGGCATAGTTAATCCCTATAGTCCCAGCTACTTGGGAGGCTGAGGCAGAAGGATTTTGAGCTTAGGAGTTTGAGGTTACAGTGAGCCATGACCACACCATTGCATTGAAACGTGGGTGGCAGAGCCAGATCCTGTTTCAAACAAAACAAAACAAAAATATATTATTAAAACAAAAAATATTTCCTTTTTTCCTATTATTACATAGTATGGCTGTATTTTTCTAACTTCTAATAAAAATTATTCTCAGTTAAATAATTTTCTTCACAATATCTCTTTTAACTTTAATTTTTCTGATTTTAGGACAAATTTTTATAAGCAGAATAACCCACACACAAAAGTATAAAACTATTTAAGTCTTTTGATGAAAAGTATAAAAACAAATTTTTCCAAATTATAACAATTTTATTTCTATCCACTCATGACAATATTCCTTTTACCTATTAAAATATTTTTTTCATTGTATCTCATTTATTACATGTGAGGATATATTGATAAAATCTCTCAAGACAGGAATTTAGCAACACAGAGGAAAAGCCTCAGATATGATTGAGAATCTTCAATCCACAATTCTACAAACGGATCCTAAGGACATACTAAAAAAAATGAATTTGTTTTTTTTTTTTTTTTTGAGACAGAATCTCAATCTTTCACTCAGGCTGGAGTGTGATGGCATGATCCCAGCTCACTGCAACCTCTGCCTCCCAAGTTAAAGCAATTCTCATGCCTCAGCCTTTCGAGTAGCTGGGATTACAGGCGTGCACCACTATGCCCAATTAATTTTTGTGTTTTTTTAATATAGAGATGTGGTTTCACCATGTTGACCAGGCTAGCCACAAACTACTAACGTCAGGTGATCCCCCGGCCCCGGCCTCCCAAAGTGCTGGGATTACAGGTGTGAGCCACCATGCCTGGCCTGCAATTTGTTTTTCTTTTCTTTTCTTTTCTTTCTTTTCTTTTTTTTTTTTTTTTTTGACAGAGTCTGGCTTTGTAGCCCAGGCTGGAGTGCAGTGGCACGATCTCACCTCACTACCACCTCCGCCTCCCAGGTTCAAGTGATTCACCTGCCTCAGCCTCCTGAGTAGCTGGGATTACAGGCGCGTGCCACCATGCCCAGCTAATTTTTTGTATTTTTGGTAAAGACAGGGTTTCACCACGTTAGCCAGGATGGTCTCTATCTCCTGACCTCGTGATCTGCTAGCCTGGGCCACCCGAAGTGCTGGGATCACAGGCGTGAGCCACTGCGCCCCGCCTGCAATTTGCTTTTCTATAAGGAAAGCCAGTCCTTCAGTGTTCAGTTTAGCATGACACCTTATGGAAAACTTCTCTTTTCCTCTGCTCAACTTCTCTGCCATCCCTCGTGCTGATATAGCACTTGGGCACATGTATGATCTTACTTACTAGATAATCAAAATTGTTGAAACTATTAGTTGAAATGTATTAAATGCTTAGAAAGCATAGTTGATAATATTCGAAGCAGGTTTTTTACTCATTTTATTATTTATTCATGAAAACAAATTTCTGATGTAGGAATGACGTTCCGTATTTTATCACTGATTTAACTACTGCTTTAGAAAGGATGAATAAATGGCTCAAGTTCATGCAGGGAAGAAACGAGAGCACCAAGATTCAAACACAGGCAGACTGAGTTGAAATATTTCTTCAGTCAGCGATGTATATAATTTTTTTCTGATTCTAATATTAAAGTTATATTATGCTTTCCAAATACTTATGGATAAAAGAAATTAGAAAGATCTTAAAAATTAACAAATTTCACAATTGCAGTATTCACATTATTAGTTGTGGATACCTACCTTCCATGAGCTATTGCTAACCTAATAAAACATTTTTTAATATATTACTGGCAATGTTAAATCTCTACCTTCACCACTATTTGTACATTAAATTAGAAGAAGAAAGCCTTATTGAAATGAGAAAAGAGATATTGCATGAAAATAACAGACTCCAAATATGAATATTAGATAATAAATATACTTCAGTCAGACAGTTTGGTCAAAAGTGAAGATGAATTACAGAATATAGCAGTTCTTTGCAAACATTTGTGAAAATAACATGTGAATCTTATTGATAAAATATTCAGGTAAGTATATTTTTCATTACTATTTGACCTTATCAACTATATCAGGGAAATTTGCATGAGCCAATTTTTCAATAAATATTGCATTATATATTACACAAATAGAAAATGAAGAAAAAAGAATCCTGTGTTTTTATAAAACATCAGAAGCACTTTTGACAGGAAACAGGATTATCTGAACAACTGAATATTTATGGGGAAATTGTATACTTAGTATAGAGAGATTTGAACTATTAATCAAAAAATCATTCGGATGCAGAGAACTCTAAGGAAGGTGAAAATTGTAAATCAAAATGCATATGTATATAAATCATTATTTTTAAGGAGGCTATTTTGGTAGAGCAAATAGTAGAAATGAAATATTTTACCTAAGACTCAGATTCTGATAATACCAGGTTATAGCTAAATAAGAAATGAGAAGAATTTGTCTTCATTTAATGCTTAAAGATCATCACTGCAGAGACAGGGATGATCAGTGAGCCCCGGGCCATGGTTCTGCAAAGAAAATGATGAACTCCACTTACTGTGTATGTACTATTGCCTAGAGTGAACTTACTTTTCCAAGCTAGGAATAAACAATAATATTCTTCAGTATCATACTTAACACCTTGCAATGCCCTCACACACATGTTTCTTAAATGATAGGCTTTTCTTTTCACATTCTCATGTAGAAATCTGGTACATGTTCATTCCTTGGCAGCTGTGTAATAGTTTAAAAGTCTGAGCTCTCAGCAAAAGAAGACAAAAAAGTGAGAAAAAGCCTCATTCTGATTGCCAGCCAAATAAATATATCTTTAGAAAGAGGAGGACAATTTTTACTTTGCTTAGTACCTCTTGAAACAATAGAGTCCTGTAGGACACAGTTGATACTAATGGGACAAATCTCCCTATCCAATCCCAGCTTCCACTGTACTTGCTGAGTGTGAGGCCTCTGAGCCCTAGCCTGCACATATACATGCAGATGGCCTGAAGCAAGCGAAGAATCAGAAAAGAAGTGAAAATGGTCAGTTCCTGCCTTAACTGATGACATTACCTTGTGAAATTCCTTCTCCTGGCTCAGAAGCTCCCCCACTGAGCACCTTGTGACCTCCGCCCCTGCCGGCCAGAGAACAACCCCCTTTGACTGTAATTTTCCACTATTACCCAAATCCTATAAAACGGCCCCATCCCTATCTCTCTTCGCTGACTCTCTTTTTGGACTCAGCCTGCCTGCACCCAGGTGAAATAAACAGCCTTGTTGCTCGCACAAAGCCTGTTTGGTGGTCTCTTCACGTGGACACAAGTGACGTTTGGTGCCAAAGACCTGAGATGGGAGGACTCCTTTGGGAGACCAGCCCCTGTCCTCACCATCACTCCGTGAGGAGATACACCTACAACCTCGGGTCCTCAGAGCAACCATCCCAAGGAACATCTCACCAATTTCAAATCGGGTAAGCAGTCTTTTCACTCTCTTCTCCAGCCTCTTTTGCTATCCTTCATTCTCCCTCTCTCGCTACCCTTCAATCTCCCCGTCCTTCCAATTCCAGTTCTTTTTCCTCTGTAGTAGAGACAAAGGAGACACATTTTATCCGTGGACCCAAAACTCCGGCACCCGTCATGGACTCGGGAAGATAGTCTTCCCTTGGTGATTAATCACTGTGGGGACGCCTGCCTGATTATTCGCCCACACTCCATTGGTGTCTGATCACCACGAGGATGCCTGCCTTGGTCATTCACCCACATTCCCTTGGTGGCAAGTCAATTGTGGGGACGCCTGCTTTGGCTGCTCACCCACACTGCAGCCTAGGGCTGCTCACCACCCCCTTCTCTGTGTCTCCACCTTTCTCTTTGAACTTACCTACTTCACTGTGGGCAAACTTCCGCCCTCCATTCCCCCTTCTTCTCCCTTAACCTGTGTTCTCAAAAACTTAAAACCTCTTCAACGCTCGCCTGACCTAAAACCTAAGCATCTTATTTTCTTCTGCAACACCGCTTGGCCCCAATACAAACTCAATAAAGGTTCTAAATAGCCAGAAAATGACACTTTTGATTTCTCCATTTTACAAGACCTGGATGATTTTTGTCGAAAAATAGGCAAATGGTCTGAGGTGCCTGATGTCCAGGCATTCTTTTACACATTGGTCCCTCCCTAGTCTCTGCTCCCAATGTGGCTCATCCCAAATCTTTCTTCTTTCTCTCCTGTCTGTTCCTTCAGTCTCCACCCCAAGCTGAGTCCTTTGAATCCTCCTTTTCTATGGACTCATCTGACCTCTCCTCCCCAGGCTGCTCCTCACCAGGCCGAACCAGGTCCCAATTCTTCCTCAGCCTCTGCTCCCCCACCCTATAACCTTTCTATTACTTCCCCTCCTCATGCCCAGTCCTGCTTACAGTTTCATTCTGGGACTAGCCCTCCCCCACCTGCCCAACAATTTCCTCTTAAAGAGGTGGCTGGAGCTGAAGGCATAGTCAAGGTTAATGCTCCTTTTTCTTCATCTGACCTCTCCCAAATCAGTTAGTGTTTAAGCTCTTTTTCATCAAATATAAAAACCTAGCTCAGTTCATGGCCCGTTTGGCAACAACCATTAGATGCTTTACCACCCTAGACCCAGAGGGCCAGAAGGCCATCTTATTCTCAATATGCATTTTATTACCCAAGCCCCTCCCAACATTAGAAAAAGCTCCAAAAATTAGATTCCAGCCCTCAAACCCCACAACAGGACTTAATTAACCTCACCTTCAAGGTGTACAATAATACAGTAGAGGCAGCCAAGTAGCAACGTATTTCTGAGTTGCAATTCCTTGCCTCAACTGTGAGAGAAACCCCAGTCACATCTCCAGCACACAAGAACTTCAAAACGTCTAAACCATAGGGGCCAGGCATTCCTCCGGGACTGCCTCCCCCAGGATCTTGCTTCCAGTGCCAGAAATCTGGCCACTGGGCCAAGGAATGCCCGCAGCCTAGGATTCCTCCTAAGCTGTGTCCCATCTGTGTGGGACCCCACTGGAAATCAGACTGTCCAACTCACCTGGCAGCCACTCCCAGAGCCCCTGGAACTCTGGCCCAAGGCTCTCTGACTGACTCCTTCCCAGATCTTCTCGGCTTCAGCGGCTGAAGACTGACACTGCCCTATTGCCTCGGAAGCCTACAGGACCATCACAGACACTTTGGGTAACTCTTAGAGAGCAGGGTAAGTCCATCTCCTTCTTAATCAATACAGACGCTACCCACTCCACAGTACCTTCTTTTCAAGGGCCTGTTTCCCTTGCCTCCATAACTGTTGTGGGTATTGACGGCCAGGTTTCTAAACCTCTTAAAACTCCCCAACTCTGGTGCCAACTTAGCCAATATTCTTTTAAGCACCCCTTTTTAGTTATCCCCACCTGCCCAGCTCCCTTATTAGGCTGAGACATTTTAACTAAATTGTCTGCTTCCCTGACTACTCCTAGGCTACAGCCACACCTCAGTGATAGATGTGGAAGATACTATAGCATAGCCTGTCTTGGCTGGTGAATGGTGATTAGGCCTTTGGAACTGGGAGCCCTTTTCTCCAGTTCAAAGCCTCCTTCACATCCTCCCCTTGTATCTCCCCACCTTAATCCACAAGAATAGGATGCCTCTACTCCCTCCTTGGTGACGAATCATGCACCCCTTACCATCCCATTAAAACCTAATCACCCTTACCCCACTCAATGCCAATATCCCATCCCACAGTACACTTTAAACGGGTTAAAGCCTGTTATCACTTGCCTGTTACAGCATGGCCCTTTAAAGCCTATAAACTCTCCTTACAATTCCCCCATTTTACCTGTCCAAAAAAAACTGGACAAGCCTTACAGGTTAGTTCAGGATCTGCACCTTATCAACCAAAGTGTCTTGTGTATCCACCCCATGGTGCCAAAGTCATATACTCTCCTAACCTCAATACCTCCCTCCACAACCCCTCCATAACCCATTACTCTGTTCTGGATCTCAAACATGCTTTCTTTACTATTCCCTTGCCCCCTTCATCCCAGCCTCTCTTCACTTTCACTTGGATTGACCCTGACACCCATCAGGCTCAGAAAATTACCTGGGCTGTACTGCCTCAAGGCTTCACAGACAGCCCCATTACTTCAGTCAAGCCCAAATTTCTTCCTCATCCTTTACTTATCTCGGCATAATTCTTCATGAAAACACACGTGCTCTCCCTTCTGATCATATCTGGCTAATCTCCCAAACCCCAACCCCTTCTACAAAGCAACAACTCCTTTCCTACCTAGGCATGGTTAGATACTCCACCTTTAGAGACCTAGTTTTACCATCCTGACCAAACCATTACATAAACTCAGAAAAGCAAACCTAGCTGACCCCACAGATCTAAATCCTTTTGCCACTTCTCTTTCCATTCCTTAAAAACAGCCCTAGAAGCTGCTCCCACACTAGCTCTCCCTAACTCATCCCAACCCTTTTTCATTACACACAGCCGAAGTGCAGGACTCTGCGGTCAGAATTCTTACACAAGAGCCAGGACTGTGCCCTGTAGCCTTTCTGTCCAAACAACTTGACCTTACTGTTGTAGGCTAGCTCCCACATTATTCCTGATACGACACCTGACCCCCATGCCTGTATCTCTCTGATACACCTGGCATTCACTCCATTTCTCCATATTTCCTTCTTTCCTGTTCCTCCCCTGATCACATCTGGTTTATTTTTATTTTTATTTATTTATTTTTTTTGAGACAGAGTCTCGCTGTCGCCCAGGCTGGAGTGCAGTGGTGCGACATCTGGTTTATTGATGGCAGTTCCAACAGGCCTAATCACCATTCACCACCAAAGACAGGCTATGCTATAGTATTTTCCACATCTATCACTGAGGCTACCGCTCTGCCCCCTCCACTACCTCTCAGCAAGCTGAACTCATTGACTTAACTCGGGCTCTCACTCTTGCAAAGGGATTACTTGTCAATATTTATACTGATTCTAAATATGCCTTCCATATCCTGCACCACCATGCTGTTATATGGGCAGAAAGAGGTTTCCTCACTATGCAAGGGTCCTCCATCATTAATGCCTCTTTAATAAAAACTCTTTTCAAGGTCGCTTTACTTCCAAAGGAAGCTGGAGTCATTCACCGCAAGGGCCATCAAAAGGCATCAGATCCCATAGCTCCGGGCAATGCTTATGCTGATAAGGTAGCTAAAAAAGCAGCTAGGGTTCCAACTTCTATCCCTCACGGCAATTTTTCTCCTCATCTGGTCACTCCCACCTACTCCCCCACTGAAACTTCCACCTATCAATCTCTTCCCAAACAAGGCAAATGGTTCTTGGACCAAGGAAAATATCTCCTTCCAGCCTCACAGGCCCATTCTATTCTGTCATCATTTCATAACCTCTTCCATGTAAGTTACAAGCTGCTAACCCGCCTCTTAAAACCTCTCTTTTCCTTTCCATCGTAAAAATCTATCCTCAAAAAATCACTTCTCAGTGTTCCATCTGCTATTCTACTACTCCTCAGGAATTTCTCAGGTCCCCTCCCTTCCCTACACATCAAGCTTGAGAATTTGCCCCTGCCCAAGACTGGCAAATTGACTTTACTCCCATGCCCCGAGTCAGGAAACTAAAATAACTCTTGGTCTGGGTATACACTTTCACTGGATGGGTAGAGGCCTTTCCCACAGGGTCTGAGAAGGCCACCATGGTCATTTCTTCCCTTGTGTCAGACATAATTCCTCAGTTTGGCCTTCCCAACTCTATACAGTCCAATAATGGACTGGCCTTTGCTAGTCAAATCACCCAAGCAGTTTCTCAGTCTTTTGGTATTCAGTGAAACCTTCATACCCCTTACCATCCTCAATCTTCAGGAAAGGTAGAACGGACTAATGGTCTTTTAAAAACACACCTCACCAAGCTCAGCCTCCAACTTAAAAAGGAGGACTCTGTCAAGGATAGAGCCCAAAAACTCACCAACCAAGCAAGTAATTACGCTGAACCCCCTTGGGTACTCTCTAATTGGATGTCCTGGGTCCTCCCAATTCTTAGTCCTTTAATACCTGTTTTTCTCCTTCTCTTATTCAGACCTTGTGTCTTCCATTTAGTTTCTCATTTCATACAAAACCACATCCAGGCTATTACCAATCATTCTATATGACAAATCCTCCTTTTAACAACCCCACAATATCGCCTCTTACCACAAAATCTTCCTTCTGCTTAATCGCTCCCACTCTAAGTTCCCACGCCACCCCTAATCCCACTCGAAGCAGCCCTGAGAAACATTGCCCATTATCTCTCCATACAACCCCCAAAATTTTCACCACCCCAACACTTCACCACTATTTTGTTTTATTTTTCTTATTAATATAAGAAGACAGGAATGTCAGGCCTCTGAGCCCAAGCTTGCACATGTACATCCAGATGGCCTGAAGCAAGTGAAGAATCACAAAAGAAGTGAAAATGGTCAGTTCCTGCCTTAACTGATGACATTACCTTGTGAAATTCCTTCTCCTGGCTCACGAGCTCCCCCCACTGAGCACCTTGTGACCCCTGCCCCTGCCTGCCAGAGAACACCCCCCTTTGACTGTAATTTTCCACTACCTACCCACATCCTATATAACAGCCCCACCCTATCTCCCTTCACTGACTCTCTTTTTGGGCTCAGCCCGCCTGCACCCAGGTGAAATAAACAGCCTTGTTGCTCACACAAAGCCTGTTTGGTGGTCTCTTCACACAGATGCGTGTGACACTGAGAAAGGAGGTTAAAGATGTCTATCTATTTCATAATAGGAGGTAACACACTGTGTGTGTCCCATGTGGCGAGAGCTCAAACAAGGCATGTCACTGCAAGTTTCCCAGAATGCTAAATAAGAACAATGGAAAATTTATACCATTTGGCACTAACTCATGGGCTCTTGTTCCTCTGATTATTGGGAAAAATTATTTCAGGTTCCAGATATCTAGAGGTTTGGTGTTAGAGAGTTGGAGATCAGCAAGGAGCAAGAACCCTCTCCCACAACCCCCCCAGAAAAATGTACAAATAAATCATGAAAAAAGAAGGAAGAGAGGAAAGAAAAGAAGAGAAAAGCAAAGCAAAGAGAAGAACAAATGAAAAATAGCAGGTTAAAAATGAAAGATCAAGTTTTGAGACAGAATAAATGTTAGAAATACGCAGGCAGAGGACAGCTACTTCCCCATTACAGGCCTCGTGTTTGCTTCTAGCTTTTTGTTGCTTGGGCAAATCAGCGCAATTTAAATGGCCAAAGGATATATTGAATTAAATGATTGCAATTTTGAAAAAGAAAAGGTATTGTTTCCACTTAAAAAAAATAAACAAATAAGATGATACACTTCATCCTCTTGGATTAATCAGATTTGGAGAAGCACTTACAATGGAATGGAAGCAAGCATAGTTAAATCACAAAAAATTGGTATAATTAAAGAAGCAGCAAGAAGCACACACAGATGTATGGATATACAGTCTCACACAGGTTGCCACCCCCTTAGGGACTATTACTTTGTACTAAATGTTAGTATATAGAAGAAAAAGAAAAGACTCTCAATTGTTTTCTAAGTGCAACCATTTTTTTATCCATTTTCAGTAACCAGTATGGCTTCAGTAATTCAGAAGGCAAAGGGAAACTGAGTCTCTCAGAAGAAACTCAAGCTGTTCTAATCATGGCTAATATTCAAATATTAAGAAAGCATAACTATATTGCAATGCGATAAAGTCAATACATTCCAACTTATATGGTGCTGTAACTATTTGATTCATTTTTTTTTTAAAGCAGAATGTACTCAACTCCTTGAAAGTCATGATCTCTGAGATAATCTGGTTGCATAGTTGCCTAGCATTAGCAAATGCTTTCGGCAGGGAAAACCATTTAGAGGTTAACGAATTAGATTTCTCAGATTTATCCATGGCTATTATGTGAGTAAACGGCATTAGTTACAATTCTTTTTTATCACAAACTATAGAAAAAGAGAGGATATATTGGCTTGAGTAGCTGGAAAGTCCAGAGAATGTCATTAATTCCTGGCATAGTTGGATCCAGAAGCTCAAACAACATCAGAATCAAACTGCTCTCCCTTGATCTCTCAGTTCTGCTTTCATCTTTCATCTTTTACAGGAATGCTCTCCTTTCATGGTGGCCCTACCAGGTATTAGATTGCACTCCTTTAACCCTATGTTTTAATAAAAATATTAGGATAAGCTCTGATTGGCTCGTATAATCTTTTTTCTACCAATCACTGTAGTTTGCAGCAAGTGTCCAATCACGGACAAGACTGACTTTCATGCCTGTGAACCAGAGACAAAATTGGCATGGGCTGAGAACAGGTAGAAAAACTGGGATGTTGGCCGGGGGCAGTGGCTCATGTCTGCAATCCCAGCACTTTGGGAGGATGAGGTGGGAGGATCGCTTGAGGCCAGGAGTTCAAGACCAGCCTGAGCAACATAGTGAAACCTTTATCTCCACAAAGAAAGAAAAGGAAAGGAAAATCAGGAAATCAGGATGTTGTTTTCAGGTACTGTTGGAGAAGAATGCTGCATAAATAAAAGGAAAACTTCACCAACCAGTCCTGTAAAGAACCTTGCATCTTCAGAGTCACAAATCATATTCAATTTGGCAAGCACACATTTTTAGTGAATTGTTTAGATTATTAAAACAATGACCAACAAAAGCCAAAAGAATGTAAAATATATCTTATGTTTTAAGAACAAAAGTCTTGTTTGAGCTCTCACCTCATATAACATTCTCGTATATATACTGACCTTGTAATCACTACAGAAGGTATTTTGCCTCTTCTAACACATGTTCATTATTTGTGAGTAGGTATAAAAAAATAAGAATTATGGGCTAATCATTTTGGTCTTTTCTATGATGCTGATATTTGATTTTGGTTAATTATATTTATTAAATAATGTGATTTAATATGTAACTGCCAGATGAACACAAATAATCTAGATTTCTTTGCTTCAAGTAAAGGCCTAATTTTACTCACCTTGTAAAAACATACTACTTATGCCAAAAAATATAAGAAATATTGTTTTTAGGATTGTTAGTATTAAATTAATCCATTGTGGATGGTGAAGTAGATAAGGAGAAAATACAAGTGAGTGAAGCTGGTTTTGCCTATTTATATAAAAGCATCATGAAATAGTTGCAGTATCACTTAAGGTCACTGGTGACAATCAAGCCGCAGGAGCATAGTTCTCCCTTAAACAGCATTTATTTGTATTATTCATACTTGTCTTACTATTACTTAGCACTGACATCCCAGTGCTTTTTAACGGATTTAAGATCCTTCTGTGTATTTAATAAATCAATAGAAATACTTTACAGGGAAAACACTTTATACACTTAACCATTCTGAATGATGACACATTATTCCTTAAGCAACTCATTTACCTTTTTGTTTGTTTGTTTGTTGCCTTTGGTTAAGAACTAAAACATCACTTTTATAAGGAAAGTTGTCTTTCTAAAATATGTCATTTTTGACATTTCTGTTTTCAATGTTCAGTAAATCAAAGTTGTTTTCATATGAAATACCAAAATAATAATAAATCTCTCTCAGCACTCCATTTCTCAGCAGGAAAACTCTTAGCTGGTTGTCTGCAAAAACCCAGTGAATGAAACAGAAGAGAAATGCAAGCCTTGAAATTCCATTACCTCCTTATGGAAACCACTGAATCACAATTCAATATTTTCTAGATCTAGAAACCCAAGGTTTTCTGATTCGTTTTCCTGGTGGTGGTATAACTTATTGCAAATCAGACAAGACAGTCCAGCCCAAAAAAGAAATCATGGAATGAGTTATGTACTGGCTGCAATGGGGAAGTCAGAAATGTGGAGTTAAGAGACAAAAAAAAAAAAAAAAAGAAAGAAACTACCTAATTTACTGGTTACCAAGAAAAGTATAGAAGAAGAAAACACAGAAGTTTTGTAAAAATAACAATGTGCTTTGCGAGAGATGCGTTCTAAATTTAAAAGTGTAATTGAAAATTTAAGTATAATTTTACAATGACAATGAATAGCAAGACTGTCATAATGTATTTACAGACCAGATAATCAAAATATATAAGTGTAATTTTACCAACAATACCAACTGTATGCATACATCAATTTTTTCTATTTTCAAAACTGAAACAATGTTAATGAACTAGTTTTACTCAGAGCAGTCTGACATCAAATACATGGTCTCTTTTCCAACACTACATTTCCAATTCTCTGACACTGCCTGGGTGACCTACAATTCAATTCAATTCTGACATTATCTATTTGAAATTAGCATCAGATCTCACAAGTTAAGGGCAATGGCTGAACTTAAAACTGCTGAGTGAAAAATAGAAGAAACAGACTGAGATTCACAACCTATGGAATGCATGCAAATTAAAACGATGTGAGAAGAGATAGAGAGATAGATATCAAATACAGTAGAGTAGTTGCATAATGAATCTGGGGAGGAAGAAGATTGGAGAATAGAGATAAAAAGAAATCCATCTATCAATCAATCAAAGGAGGCATGTCACATGAACCATTGTTAATGGTGCACCATAATTAGGCATATGATTAATATAATCTTACGTACCTGAGATCTAAAAACTAAATAAATATAATTTAAAAATGAAGTAACCCTATATTTAAAAAAGAAAAACTTTTTTAAAGTTCATTTTGAAAGCAAAGCAAACGGCAACACATTTTTAAAAAGTAGGAAAAATGAGTGTAACACATATAGGAGAGTTTATGCCACAATATTTAAAGAGTTCTTGCAAATTAATAAAGGTGTCAATGGTGTAACCAAATAATTCACTATCAAAAATGCAAATGTTCACCACCATAGGTAAATGTATTCAATATCATTAATAGACTATTTTCCAGTCTTCCTTGAGAATAGGTCAAAAATAAATTTCAAAGTTATGCTTTGCTACCCTTTCTTGGTTCCAGAGAAAGAGAAACTTATCTGAAGCTGATTGAAAATGGTTAGGATGGAAAATAAACCACAGTCATGGAGCTGGGAGGGACATAAAAGTTCATGTAACATGTGATAGAACAGAGGCACTGAAAAGCCGAATAATTTATCCAATAAAACACAGAATCACAATGTGAGAAACAGGATTAGAACCCAGTCTTCAAATGTCCCACAGTGAAACATCGACCACTGGAATCACACAGCAGAAGCAGCCCTCACAAGCTGGACTTAGGAGGCCAGGAGAATCGCGGGTTGTGACTGCTTCCTGAGCATCTTCCAGTCAGGTCTGCTTCCAGAACGAGTCATGTTCCCTCTCCTTCCCACCTTGTCTCTCTCACATTCAGAGGATCACCCTCCTTGACATTTGCCTAGTTACCCTCAAATAATGCTCACTTTGGCATGGGAATTCTTTCTTGGATACTGTTGGCAATTCCAGTATTGTTATAATCAATTATTTGTGGCCTCCATATGAACATTTTTTCCAACCCTTGTATCTGTCCATGCTCCTGTTCGCTTCCCATTCCTCTTGTTATTTAAGCATTATTTGACTCAAGGCTTGGCGCATCACAAACTTAGGTGGAAAAAGACACTGTTAGTGGGTGTCAGGCATTTATTACAGGAAATACATTAACATCACAAGGAGGTGTCATTGAAAATATTCTCAATCTATGATTTAGATTTAAGACTAGCTAATAATGTGCTCTCCTTTCTATTTTTAAGAAAATAGACTGATACAGACTTTAACATGAAGCCCAACCCCAACACCAGCCCTAATTTTTCAAGGAAATGAAAAACGAAAGAAGCAAAATCCCAAATAACGTCTATAGAAGATAAAACAGTAAATATTGTAGTAAACAGCAAAATTGACCTAAAGAGTACATTTAAAAAAATTTTTATCATAGTATAAATCTGCAGATTTTCAAACCAATTTATAAGTACTGCATACTGATGGCCATCAAAAGGTATTAAATGTCAAGGAGGAATAGAGCGCTACTTCAAGAATCGAACTTAACTAAAGGTCAAAAAGTTTTCAATGTGTGCACCTTTAAAAGGTTCTCCACCTGCATGTGCATATAAAAACAGCAGAATTATTCATTTTATGTTTTATATAAAACAGAAAATTTCAAAGGAACTTTGTGTTTTCAGGGCTGCTTCAGGCTCTCTGCCCAGATCCCGGGGATGTGCACATACATACATTGTCCTCTTCTTTAAGAAGCACTTCAGAGGAAAAGTTTGAGAAGCAGTGGTTTATTTGAAAGAATGATAAACTTAGTGCTGGGAGAACTGAGAACCAATTCTAGCTTTGATACTTACTAGCTATGTCACCTAAACTCTCAAAACTTCAGTTTCCCCTTCTGTAAAATGGGATTCCTGCTGCAAGATTTAGAGGTGGGTAGGAGGATTCAATAATTAGTGCATCTGAAAAAAACTTGGAAAGCTGATAAACAATATTTATGTAAAAAGTTTGATTTGAGCAAGATTAAGAAACATATAATAACTATGGCTTATATTACCCCCAAAAAGCTATATTTAAAAAAATTTGGAGATGGGGTTTCACAATGATAGGTCATTGTGATGTTAATGTATTTCCTGTAATAAATGCCTGACACTCACTTATAGTGTTTTTTCCCAGCTAAGTTTGGGAAACATGTTGCCCAGGCTGAACTCAAACTTCTGGGCTCCAGGGATCCTCCTACCTCAGCCCACTCAGTAGCTGGGACTACAGGCATGCTCCACTGCACCAGGCCAAAGACTGCTATCTAAATATTGTACTTGCACATTGATTTTTTTCATACATCCCTTGATAGTCCCAGAAATTTTTATTCTATTTTCCTGCCTCATGAGTCACTCTCCCAGAAATTCCCTGACAGTTTTGATATTCAATCTTGCTTGAGCTACTGGCATTTGTAGGTGTTATGTCATTTAAATGACTAATACCTCTGCACTATTCACAAAGCAGTTTCTTTTTTCTTTTTTCCTAGTACCTTCTACATATAGGTATTTAATGAAAGCTTCCTGAATAAAATAATTGTAATGTAATGAAATTGAGATGTAATGTAAACATTGGCTGAAGTCTCTGGTTTCAGCAATCAGGCTATCTGATCATAAACCTTGTCTCTGTCACTTACTAGCTCTGTATTCTTAGACAAATTAGCTATGGCTCAGATTGCCTATCTAGAATATGGGCATCACAGCCATGCCGTAGTGTTTAAAAATAATAAATATGATTGTGTGTGGAAAGTGCTAGCATACCTTTGTCATGTGCTAAATATGCAATAAATAGTAATTTTTATCAAAATAGTTGTATAAGTGGGAAAGAGGAAATGGCACAATGCTGCCAACTGTTCTTGGCTATAAAATATCACATATTTCTCCCATCTTCTAGAACTCACAGCTTTGTGATTTATACTTGTTCCAATTTGAATGGAAATTATTTCCTGGCAACTTGCTGCTGTGAGAATCCCAGCCTTTGACCACATGCCTGCTATGTTTACTTTAGTAGCTCTTTGTTGACCTAGTCATTTAATGGCCCTGGATCCTGTTTCTTCCCCATCAGCTGTTTCACTCTCTTCCTTCCACTTTCACATGTCTTAGCGCAATGCAACTTCATAAGTAACTCTACCTTGTTATGAAGGTTCTTATGTTTAGTTAATAGTCTTCAAAGATATGTTTATAAATTAGTGTTTTCACTTTTTAAAATTATTTCTATTTTAAGTCAACTGCTAGCCAAAAAGTTTTTCGATGAGTTTAGTTTGAATAATTCTGTAAAGTAGCTACTCGATATTTATTATTGATTGCTTTAAAAATGTTTCCCATCACCTATATACATTACAATAGACAGGCATTTATTCAACATAAAAAAGAAACTTTCTGACTTCAAGATCATTAGATTATAAAATGTTGACCCACTCAGGCAGATTATCTTCTTTCCTTGATGACCTTAAAAGTCAGAGAGGCATTGAAATGATTTCAACAATTTAAATGCTATTCTGATACACTTACAATAAATATGTGCAAGTTTCAGCCCAGGATATAGCTATAATTTTTAATGCAACGTTATAAATTAAGACGAAATAGGAAGATTTTATATCCAGAAAAAATGATAGGATATTAATAGGATTTTAAACTTCCTTTCTTATTATTTTAAAGCCATATATTTAACTCAATTAAAATCAATAGAAAATAAAATACTTTGACTCTTATTCTGTTTCAGTTACCAGACTAGGACTGGAAATGGACAAATGACAAGTCAGGAACCTTTTTCTCAAGACGTTCACAGTCTATTTGAGAAGACAGATATCTATGTGTGTGTATACACACACACACACACACACACACACAGAAACATATACACCCCTAAACAATAAGCATATGCACAAGAGAGAAAGTCATCATGGAGAAATGATTGATTCTCTGAGACAGGTGCAGAAGTCAACCCTAATGATAACTATAATATTGGGTCTGAGTTTTGAAGAACTAATAGAAATATGTCAGACTGGGCTAGAAGGAGCTTTCTAAACAAATGGAATATGTGATTTGATAGAGTGTAAACTGCAAGAGAGGAAAGGTGCAAGAGATAGTCAAGGTCGGATCATGAGATACAGTATGGCCCCACCGCAGAGATATCAGAGAAACAAAGCAGTAAATAAATAACAATCTCTGGAAATAGGAGGTTAGATACAACTACTGTTCTGAGAAACATTGCTAAATCTGTTGCTCTAAATGTAGTGCCCGACAAAGCATCCAAGCATAGGTGATTTTTTTCCTCCATTTACAAAACTACAGTGCGGGAGCCTAACTACTTGATACTTCACTGATGCCAACCCCGAATATCATAGATTTTATTTGAGAGTTAGTTTCTTCCTATCTGAAGAAACAAAAAGGCTTCTTTTAATTCCTGCAGATGTGCTTGTTTCTGGGATGTCTGTAAGAATCTGCCATCAGAAACCACAATCCAGAATTTACAGTTCAAAGTATCAGATGGTAAGAGTTTCCATAAATTTGTTCTAATCAAAAGAAAACCACCTGGAATTAATCACGTGACAGGGTAGCAGGAAGCTGATTAAGGATGATTTGCTTCGGTAGAAAAGCTTTCAGAACAATTGCAGAAGTTGTAGTAGGCAAGGACAGAAGGGATTCTGTTAAAATTTTTCTTTTGCTTTTTCTGTCTTGCAAAATATCCATCTTTATAACATAACTAGGAATCTTAATTATTGCAATGAGCCATAACTCAATAAATGAACACTTTTCACCTTAAAAAATTAACAAAGTTACAAACTAACAAGCAGAAGAGAAATATTCAGTATCGTCTGTATCTTTTTCAATTTCTAATACCACCTTACCCTTTTTCAGGCTTGCCTCCATCCTTCCCAAAATATTGAAACTGCCAACCTTGCACTGCTCTATTCCTAATGTGTGTGTGAACTCAGTGGTTTTTCTATGCCTTCTTTCAATTTGTCCTCCCCAAGACTGAGCACTGTGGCCCTCTATCTTGAAACTCTTCTCACCCCTTTTTCTCATAAGCACGGCTCTTTCTGGACATCTTCTTATGTTTTTACCCTTTCTGAACAGATTCTTTCACTGGATTCCATTTATCTTCTGGTTCCTTAAATAGAATTGTTTCTTTAGCTTCTGTACTTCAGCTACTTCCCTGCTGCTCTGAGCCTTCCATGCCTGACCCACTTCCTAAATTTACTCCCAGAAGATTAATCCCTGGTTTTTTATTTTAAGCTCTCTTTCTCTCTCTCTCTTTCTCATGAGACAGAAATTACCTACCATTCATTTTTAGCAGCCACAAGGACATCAAATCTCAAAAATGACTGCTTCTGGTTTCTCAAAATGAATATAGCCAGAATTTATCTTCTTATCGTGTATCTGAACAGGCTTTGTTTTCTTGGAAATCCTTCTGCCCACTAATAGGAGTTCACCCACACAAGCTTGAAATCTCAGAGAGCAATTTGTGTGTTTTCCATACAATTTCCTTGAAAGTCTAGTTTTCTATTTTTATTAAATCACCTTCAAAAGCATTACCTCTTCCAAATTGTTCTTGCTCAAAGTCACTGTGGTAACTTTCCCAGATATGATGGTCTACATAAGAAAAATACTCTTAAAACTGGTTTTCCTGCCCTAATCCTTTCTCCTTTATACCATCATGCACAATAATGATATATTGATATTTTAAAGAGTAACACTAATCATATGTCCGAAGGCTCAAAATGTCACCATTTTCTACAATGTCTTAGATTAGCATTGAAGTCCTCTCTTCGACCTAGGCAATGTTTTCACCATAAGTGTCCAGTGCTTCTCACTCTATACTTAATGCCAATCATCGGAGTTACTTGCTGTTTTGAATTGCTGTTTTGAATTTAGTATCTACCTTTACCTACGTTTTTGCTTTTTGCTTCCACATTTCTGCGCTTTACAACACATCTCCATACACATCTGCCATACATCCAGTAAGAGTCTGTTCAAATGGAGATCTGGAATAAAGCTGTCCATGATGACTCTAATTAGATGGTAGCATTTCTTCTTCTGAGCACTCAGAAGCCATTCTCTGTTCCCCTGTAGTAGCATATATGGCTTTTCTCTTAGGCAGACAGGGTCATGATGACAGGGTAATTTTCATATATGCCTTAGCAATTACAGGATGAAAGAACTGACCAATATGTTTGACCAATACGTTTTTCTGTTCTCTTTTTCTATGGAGTCTGAAAAATCTGTAAAGACAATATAAAGTTGCCCTTGAGAATTAGTATTTACCTTCTAGAGACATATTAAATATTTGTTCTCAATAAATTAGAAAAAGGTTGTTTAGGCATTAATTTATTTTTGATGTATTGAATATCTAAAATGTTTATAATTTGTTAAAGTTATATTTTCCTTGAATATAGATTAATTATTGGTCTTAGGTCTAACAGAGTCAGGAGCAGAAGAAAGGCATTCTGGTGTATATAATTTTTTCCTTGACCTCCATATCTGCTATTATTCCATATCAATTTACATAGATGAAAAGAAGAAATAAGGTAAAGAAATACATACTGACATCTACATGTGTGCATGGAATAGTGCTAAACCTTTTCACAAACTCTTAGTAAATCATTATATGTGGGTTAAGAACATTTAGACACATTTTTGCAGATGAGAAAACTCATAAAATTAACTGCTATCAGATCTTGAATTCAGGTGTTCTGATTCCCAATACAAAGCTCATACCCCTAAACCATTCCATCTGTAGTGAGCTAATTTCCTTTATTCCCTGATTGCAACAAACTACAACTACTTAGGGTTTTATCTGATATAAAATTATCTCAAAATTTTCTTACACATCTAAGATTTTATGACATTTATTGTAAGTCTTTTTTTGTGTGTAGTGTTACCAAAATCAGTTGCAGGGATAAGTTTCCTAACTGCACCTCCCCATGAGGGGAGGGCGAAACTTATTAGAAAATAAATTTCTAAAAGAAACTTATCAGAATCTTAAAAAGGCAGGCATGAAAGATGTATCTGGAAGCTACTGAGTTCCTATATGACTCTGGATATTTTCCTCTGGTTGAATAGCTGGTATAATAAGAATTTCATCCATATAAAAGGATGAAATAACAGTAAAGCTATGTCTGAAGAATATCAGACATTTAGCAAAAATAGAAAAATTTTATTTAATATTTAAGTTTAATAATAATCTGAATGTATGCTTTACATAGCACACCACATCTGAGAATGTATTAAATTCTTCAATTACATCTTGATATTGAGGATATATATACATTCTTACAAATATGTCATATAGATATAGGCAAAGTGGTAAAAACATAGTATATAGCTATGTAGCTGTGCACTTATATAGATACATTGTATAAATTTAATTTTTGAGGGATGTATGTTCTCATATTACACCTTTTATGATTCTTTGAAAGTTCACTTTTATTTATCAATACAATTTTTATAAACTAACACAATTATATTCACTCAATAAATTATGTCTAGATGAGCACCAATAATGCCTTATGATTTAAACAAAGTAACTGTTTCAAATGAGCAACATTCTTTACCAATAAAAAACATCCAGGAAGTAAAGCAATTTACTTATTTTGCATAATTCACACATGTTAACTCACACAGGTTTATATTGAACTCCAAGTACAGAAGACATTTTTACGTAAAATGATGACTTGAGCAAATGGCATATATTTATCTATTCTTTATACTATATTTTTATAAAGCAGTGAAGGCATTTCTTAGCAGTCAAAATTCTATATGCAATAACCTTAAGCTGAATGAGTGAATTTCTGGACTCTAATTTTAAAGGAAATAAACTCTGCTGATTCTAGTTTGATGATAGTTTTACTAATGTCAGTGTACTGAGAACATTTTCTTTAATCACCTCAAAAATGCCTTCAAAATATCACTTGGTGGACAAAATGATCAAATGTTGCAAATAAAAATATGCTCAAGTCATCAAATTGTTTGACTCTCAATTATGAAATTATATTAATCTTCAAATGAAATGCATAATGGTTAAAGTAACTTTTCTTATTATTAATATAGAAATCTTTGGAAACTGTGGACTAGGGTCAAATCTATTAAAAAGAAAAAATAATAGTACTTATCTTTGCTGAAGCCACATTTTTTTCAACTTAAAATGCGTAACTATTTGGGTTTACATATGCTTACTCTTAGGTAGACCAAAAAACATTTCTATCCTTGAAACAAGGTAGATAGGACAGGGAAAGAAATGGATACATGGATTTCTCTCTGTGTGTTTGTGTATGTGAGGTCAATGGTTTCACTTTTTTAAAAAAGAAAGTAAAGTCCTCTTGGCCTCATTTCATTATTAGTGATGTATGCAGTCTACAGAACACACACAAATACAAAAATAATATACAGTGTCTTCAACCAAATGATGTTCATCTTTGGTAACCATATATGATAGAGATATAGAAAAATAGAAATAGTAAGTGTTTTTTGTCTTTAAAACATACAGATATTGTATGCATTATGTAAAGCATTATTCTAGAATATGTTTCATTCTTAAGAAATTTTTCTTTTGCTTACAAAAATGATTTATGTAGTGTAGAAGATAAATAAAATTAGGGCAATATTACTATCTTTCCTAAAGTTTTTAAAGTCTGCCTCCTTAAACTTAATTTCGTTTTTACTTTTTGGTTCATTTTCCTGCTTATGAATCAAAAATCTTCCCTATACATTTTACCATGGCATTTTACTTAAATTCCTTAGATGCTTGGGACTGAGACACTTAGTTCTTATCACAACCATGCCCCCCAAAAGTGTTTAATTGCTAAATGCTAAAATTTAAGAGTGAATATTATTCTTCAACATTATATACATGAGTGTAATTACTATGCTGAAATATAATGAAACTCTCATTATGCCCAAATCAGCTACCAAAAATAAAATCATTTTGCAGGATGATGCAGGTGCTTGTAGTGAATTATAGAAATAAGCTTGAAGTTTCACAGACTCTTCCTCTATAAAAAATAATTCATCTTTTCAATTGTCAGCACTATTCAGAAGAAGCCCAAATGTTATTTATTCCAAAAGCCTCTCTCTCTCTCTCTTCTTTCTCTTCTCCCTTTCTCCTCTCTCTCTCTCTCCTTCATGAATGGGGGTAGAGAGCAGAAAGAAAATCAACTGCTAAAGTAAAGCATAGATTATTATGACCCAACTTCAGAATTATTGAACCTGAGTTCAAATGTCTTTCAACTCTATTTGATAGATATGACAGTCTTCTTTAAAATTTTATATACTGTACTGTTTTAAAGCTCAAATTTTAAAGTTTGAAAATAGTCTTATCTGATCCTTGCAAATAGTCTTGATCTGATCCTTGGAAATAGTCTTATCTGATCCCTTTCTCTCTCAACTCTCAAAATTCTAAAATAATTTCACTTAAGGTTTCTGAAATATAGCATAAGCAATATGTCTGAGGAACAGAATTTATTAGCAATATTAGATAATGTTGCTATATAATTAATTAGGAAATATTACCAAAGAAATCTACCAAAATATTATTTACTTTATTTAATATCTAAACTTTCAAGTAAAACGTACAAATGGTGAACTTCTGATATGCTGTACCTTTTCTTTACTACATTTAAACTAACATATTTGTCACTAAAGATTCAGGTAAAAAAGGCACAGTTCAAAGGAAAATGTCTTTTTTATTTTACACAATGTTAAGAATTGAATTTTGCTCTTGCAGCTTCTTGCTGTACAATTTTTTATGCTCTGAAACTTATGGACAATACTTCCGTAGATCTTGTAGCACCAACAACTGTCAAACATGTCATCTCAACAGAATGAAGAATGTCCTCGGTTAGTTTACAGACGATTGCCGTATTTTTACATTCTTTGTTGCCATACGGGGCTGCCTGAAAATGGACAACTGCATCATAGATCATTCAGTTGTGAATCCCTTTTTCTTATTTCAGTGAATCAATGACTGTCTTATATATATATTGTATAAAATATATTTTAGAAACTTTTACACTGTCCTACAAAATTAAATTCCTCTACTGTTCTCAAATCCCTAGAGAAAATAAGAGACTGCATGCCAAACAAATCCTGTTTGCTCTCAGAAGTGTCAAATATACATCTGTCTGGCTATTCACACACCTTTGTTTTATTCTGAATTACTCAATAGTGACAGAAAACACACAGTGATGGGAGCCACAGCACATCACTCTTGAAACTGCAAGAAAATTTCATAAGGGATTTTATCTTGTTTTGTACTTTAAGGAAGAGAAAGAACTAAATTTACTACTACTTAAAGAAGAAATACACAACTCTGGTATGATTGCACATCTGTTAGCTGGAAGGGAAACTAGAAATGTACTGATTCTGTCCCTTAAATTGTTGCTGTAAACTTCCCAAAGCATTAAACAAGTTTATTTATCCCAGCTAGTTTAATTATAGTGGCTTATTAAATGGGAAATGACAGAGGAGCAAAGTGACTTTTTTTTTTGGTACTATGAAGTCTGATTTATTTTCATCCACATGTGGACAGCAGCCAAAATTTAGAAAACAGTCTTATTAACTACCTTCTACCATATGTTAATCGAGTATAAGGGCATTACTACTGTGTATTATTGGTTCAATTTTGTTTTTCTAAATGTGTCTATTTTTAATTTTTTAGCTTAAACAAAATAAAAACATGTATTCCAGGCTTGCACTAATGACTAAATGCATTAAAATTCCTCTTTCTTTCAATGGTGGAAACAAACATAGAGGCTTACACTAATGACTAAATGAGTTAAAATCCCTCCTTCTTTTAAAGATGAAAATATACACAGAATCATGAAAAAAAAAAAAACAAAACAACAAAGAAAACTTAGTCCAGGAAACCCAGGACAAGTCTGAGAGCTAATCTCAAGGGCACTTCCATTAGCTGAATGGCTTGTACATTCAAAGAACTGGAGGAAACATAGGGAATTTTGAAAATGGTCAATTTCCACTGCAATTTTTTTTTTTTTACCTCTAAAACTCCTTAGCTCAATGGTAAAATTAAAAGATATATTTTTTGGAGTTTGTTTATGTAAACTTCCTTGAATTTCTAAAATGTCTCTTTCCAATATTCCGTGAGTATAGATCTAAGGTCTTTTTTTATTCTTTTTCTCTCACTCTCTTTTCCTACTTTCTTCTCTCTGTTACTTCCATTTTTTTCTTTTAGTTTGTTCCTGAACTTAAAATGTATTGACATATCACCCACTATTTACATGGTAGAAAACAGTAGTAATCAGATTTGGATCATCAAAACATGCTGATATTTTTGCTTTAAAGTATTTGCTGGCTACACACAGCCTCCCTACCAGAATCTCATTATTGAAGAAAAATACATTTTAAAATATCAGGAGCAATCACTGACCCATCCATGAACCAGGTGCTGCTTTTACCTTTCAAGCCAATGTCATGGGAGATCCAGAGTGGTGCATGTGCTTATTACTCTCTAGTCATACAATTCTTTCACTTCCAAATATTTTCTTTCAATGTCCCCAATCGTTTGATAGTACTTTGTGCCTGAGTATTGAAACCCTTTATGATTAAGACCCCTCTCTTTAATGAATACTTCAGAAGACAAAGTATGAAACATTGTAAATACAGAAGTCACACATGTATGCAAAATAGGATTTGATACTTTCAAATGACAGTTGTCAGTTAGATAAATCCCCATATCTTTTTTTCATTTTTAAGTATTCATTGCACAAATCGAACACCAATTATTTGCCCAGAACTGAGGATATAGCAGTTAAGAAAAAAAAAAAATCCTCCTTCATGAAAACTGCATCGTGATGGTGGGAGAGACAAAAAATATGAGAAATACTCAAAACAATTATGTGTTAGAAAGTGCCCAGGAAAAATTATATAAGTGAAGCAAGACAGTGAGTTGAGGGTGGGAAATTTTAGACAAATGGATAAAAGAAAGCTTCATTGAGAAGGGGATAAAATCAGCCCTCCTTATCTGCAAGTTCTGCAGCTGCAGATTCAACCAACTGGGGAAATACAAAAATACAAATAAAAACAATATTGTATTAGATAAGTACTCTAGAAATGACTTAGAGTATATGGAAATATGTGTGTAGGTTATACGCAAATACTACATGTTTTATATCAGGGACTTGAGCATCCTTAAATTTTGGTATGCACGGGGTCCTGGAATCAATCCCCCTGAGATGACTGTATTCAAATATAGACCTGATAAAAGTGAATGAACAGACCGTGTAGACATTTGGGAAAAAGAATTCCAGGCAGAGAGAGCAGCCTCTGGAGTTGAGTGTGAATTGGCTGTGAGACCAAAGGTGACCAAAGCCTAGCTCATACAAGGCCTTTTAAACTATGCTCAGGGAATTCATTTGAGGGTTTAGATCCAATGACTGGCATGATCTAATATTTGTTGGAATAAGTATTGTAGTTTAGTATAGCGGTTCAGAGAATGGACTCTGGTACCAGAGAGCCCAGGCTTGAATCCCACCTTTGACATTATTTAACTATAGAGTCCCAGTTGATTAACTTAGCCTTACTGTGGCTAACCCATCTCATGGGAGACCATACTTGTATCTACTTCATGGAAATACGATAAATATTAAATGCGCTGATATATACAAAGCACATGATAAGGAGTATATAAGTGTGTGTTAAAAAATAAAGACTGAGTATATCAGTTGTGTTTGAAATGGGCTCCAAGGGTCAAGGTAAAGCAGAGAGACAGCAATCAGGAAGCTATAAAATAATCTTTTTTAGAACTATTGTTGGCTTGCATTAGAACAGTGGAACTGTGGGTGGTGGAAAGAAGTGGCCAGTTTCGGCATATATTTTGATGGTAGACCCAGCAGGGTTTGTTCAGCTTAGATGTGAGTATGAAAGATAAAGAAGAGTGAGGTTACAGCTCAGGCTTTAGGCTATGTAATTGGAAATACGAGTTGACATTTATTAAAGTGGGGAAGGCAATGAGCAGAAGGGACAGATTTGGGTTTGAGCAAGAAATGCTTTTTTAAACATTGCATTTAAATACTTATTTTTTGCAAAATATTTTGAGTAGCTTTGTAAATTTGACAAGCCTGTTAAACATTCAAGTGGATTCAAAGATTGGGTAGATATATGAGTCTGGAATTCAGGGAAAAATTCTAGGCTGAAGGTATAGATTTGGGACTTGTCAGCCTATTTAAAACTAAGTGAATTGATGAGGTTACAGAGTGAGTACAGAGCGAGGAACAGTCCAAGGACTAAATTCTGGGGCATCCTAGAATTTAGATGATGAGGAGACAAAGATGGTACACGCAGGAAAAGGGAAAGCAGGAGGAATGCCGTGGCTTATAAGCCACATGAAGAAAGTGGTTCAGTGAGAAGGTTTGATCAAGGGTATATGTGATGCTGATGGCTCAAGTAAGACTGGGCTAAATAACAGAGAGGTCATGGTTGACTTGACACAGCAATTTCTATATTGATCTGAAGACGAATTCCTGAAATCAGTGAGTTCGATGGCAGATGTAAGGAAAGGCGTTAGAAACAAGAATTTCAGGAAATTATTTTGAGGAATATTTCTACAAATATAAAAAAGAAATATTAACTAAAGGGGGAATTAAATTGTATTTTATTTACATAAATATCGCCATGATTTTAAAATATCAGAAAACATCTGGTAAAAGATTTTGTTTTAATTGTGACAGTCTAGAAGTAAAAATGGAATTATTTCTGTAGGTGAAAGTTGCTATAATTTGTTTAACTGACCAGTGGATGACTAAGTGAATCTAGGCTATCTAATTAATCTAACCAAGTATACAGAGCTTTAAATATATAATTATCATTTAGGCACAAATATTTTGAGATATCTTCGTGGCTAATTATTTCCCTCTCTAGGAACAATTTCCAACTGCAACATTATACAGGTGGGTTCTGGCAACCATTTTTTAAAATACATACAAAAGGTGCCTTTGCTGCAGTGGATTTTATCAGAATGGACACCTAACACAATAGAGGGTAGTGAGAGTCTCTCTTCTGTTATTTGGAATTTGAATTCAGGGTTTGCAGTGAGTTTTTCTCTACACCAAGTGTATTAGTCAGGGTGAGTTAGGAATACAGAAACCATTTGATGCATTTTTAAAACAAGGGATTTAATACAATAGATTGAATATTCAAATATTAGAGGACTGAAAGAACAAAAAACAAAACCCATATTATCAACTTCACAAACCAGATACCACCTACAGAGCTGAGCTAACTCTTGTATTAGTAACTAAGAAGGAACTACCACCCATAAGACTTGAGTTCACCCTGAAGTTAACACCCATAGACAGAAGTGAAGAGATGGTGTTACTGGAATTTAGGAGCTCAGACAACCTTATACATCTTAAGATGATGCCATGTGGCTTCCTCTGATAAGAGAAGGATGGGATCTAGCTGGAAATAACACCTATTAGGGGCATACGTGCAAATAAGGGTGCTAAAACAGTACAGAAAATGGAGCCATAGTCATTTGCTGTTGCCAAAGTGAAAGTGACAGGGAACAAAAATAAAAATCACTTCTCCTATCTTCCTGCCTTTATCTCTTCCTCCACAGTCTAGGCAAAAACCTGGTGCCACCTAGGAAGTAAGTCTGATAACACAATTTGCAGACCCCAGCTTTAACATCACAGAGAAGAGAAAAAGGCTGGGCTTAGCTCTGAAGGACAATATGTCAATAACCAGTAACCTGAGGATTTTGGGGATAAACGTCCTTCACACTCCATGTGGATGAAGAGAGGAGACAGATGTTTTCCTGCAGGGAGTAAGAAGAAGAAATATGTTCTTTCTAAGTGGGGCCTGAAAAAAATGAAAATACATTTCCTATTGGTTTTACATTTTGTGAAATCCAATCACTGACACCCAGCTGAATTCCTGCTCTTGGATTTCATAAGTTATGTTTATAGCCTTAAAATTAAGTTTCTCTTCATTTAGTTTATCTAACTGAGGCACTCAGCAAAATATCTGGCACATATTAGAGGTTCAAATAGTATTCACTGAAAGAGAAATTGGATCTTGTTTTCTGAAACTGACCATAAACTATCCTGTTCCAATATTCTGTATCTCTGTGCCATCTAACAGAGCAGGCACTAGCCACATATGACAACTGAGCATTTCAAATGTGGTAACTTAGGTACCAAATTTAGTAAGTTTAAATTTAATTTTAAAAACTGATATTGAAATCAGTTATTAGAAACCCTTAAATATGTTTGGAACAGCTGGAGATGTGAACCCACTTTTCAACCGTAAATTTCATGAAACCTACATAGATCAGATGCTTCTGACGAAGATGCAACATTCAAATAGAGATATATGATAAATAATACAAAATATTTCAGTAAAATGTTTATGTTGATTCCATGTTGAAATAATAATATTTTGGATATTAGGTTAAAGAAAATATATTGTCAATATTAATTTTACCTATTGATTTTTATTTTTTAATGGAACTACTGAAAATGGCATATGTGCTTCATATTATATTCCTACTGGAGACTGCTGCTTTGAACTCTTGCTACTCAAAGTATGCTCTTGGACCAAGAGTATATGCATCACCTAGGAGCTTATTAGAAATGCAAAACCTCAGGCACCCCCCAGACAAACTGAATCTGACTCTGAATTTGCTTTTTAACAAGATCTCCAGGTGATTTGTATGAATATTACAATTTGAAAAGCACCACTTCAAACTACTTTTATATTCATTAGTTCCTCTAGAGCAAAGATTAGATATAGTCTGTCCTGTCTGTCTCAAAACATAGTTTGGTAATGAAAATTAGGACATGAGAGTTTGGTAAATAGGAGGATAATATCTATTAAGCTTGGAAGTTGCATTAAGTAATACACAATTTTTCCCAGCAAGTTAACATTATGTATCAGATAGTTATCACAGGTAACTATCAAACTATCGAGTAGTAACAGCAGGTAGTTACAGCAGATTAGAACCATGTACCCTAACAGAGCTAAACTCAGCAAGTTGCCTGGGGATGTAGTACTTATTGTACGATGCCATTTCACTCTAGATTCTTTGCTTTGTCTCAGTGCACCCCAGTGATTTCTCTTGAAAAGATTTACTGGAAAGTTCTCCCTGAATTTGTAAATGTCATGGTTTGTCTTCATAATCAGCATCCTTAGCCCCTCTTTATTGCCTCTCTAACTGCCTGGTGAGTTCTTCCTGTCCACTACACAGACAAAAATCCATCCACTGAGAACATGGCATTGCAGTAAAGAAAGAGTTTAATTGACAGGAGGCCGGCCACACCATTGCAGGAGAGAAAATTATTACTCAAGTCAATCTCACTGAAGGTTACCAGGTTAGGAGTTTTTCAAAGACAGTTTGGTGAGTAGCAGGCTAGGTAGTGGAGAGTGCTGATCGGTTGAGTTAGAGATGAAATTACAGGGAGTTAAAGCTGTCCTCTTGCTTTGAGTTGGTTCCTGGGTAAAGGCCACAAGACAGTTGGTGAGTCAGGGTGAGGCCATCAGGTTGACAGAAAGGCAAAAGCCTGAAAAGACATCTCAAAAGGCCAATCTTGGGTTCTACAATTGTGATGTTATCTGCAGAGGTAATTGGGGAAGCTACAAATTTCATGACCTCCAGAATAATGGCTGGTAATTATTTACGCCTATGTCTTAGTAGAATTCAGACCCCTCTCATCCTCCTAAATTGGTTGTCTTTTATTAGTTTTACGAGAGCAGTGTAGTTTTGGAGAAGGGCCATTATCATCTAAGCAATAAATCAAATTGCCTCCAAAGTTAGTTTGGCCCATGCGCAGGAATACGCAAAGACAGTCAGCCTGTGAGGTTAGAAGCAAGATAGAACCAGCCAAGTCAGATCTCCATTACTGCAATAATTTTGCAAAGGCAGTTTCACCTCTTCCATCAAGGTACTTTCACATTGTTTCTAAAGTCAAATCATATATTGATTTTTGAATTCCTTTATTTATCAGGACTTTATGGTGTCATTTAAATGTCACTAGCATTAGAACTGTTATTGTTTCTGTTTGTTCTCTGTTGCACAGGTCCTGAATGGTCTACTTTCAGCCTTATTTTTTTCATTAAGCCTTACAGTTATTAGTATATGACTTTGTAGTATGTACTATTTTACAGAAATATTATATTGGGTAAGCAGAAATAGCTGCATTTACTATTTTTGTAAATTGTGACTATTGAAAAGCCTGAGAAATTCTCTTATGCCTTCTGTTTCAATTTTTAGGTTAAAGGATAGCTTCCAAAGAAGATTGTAAATTATTGGAGAGACTTCGTTATAAGAGTAAGTTATATGAGAAATGGTGCTGGAGGAATTGTTTAACACTGAAATCGGTTTTCAACTGTTCTTAATTTATCATTTATATTGTGCTTAATTCCAAAAAGGATCAGAGGTTGAATACAATAAAGAACACCGATTTAAAAGACCCATTAAAACAACTGAGTAGTAATTGAAGGGGTAAAGGGGAGGAAAAAGAGAAAGTGTAATTGTGCTAGAAAATCTTGAGTAAGAGCAAGAATCGTTCAGAAAAAATTCTGAACAGCAAGCATATCTAAGCTTTCTGGCAATGAGAGCAAAACAGACTAGCTATCAAAATAATTAATGTAATATTTAAAAATGTAAACTTCTTTATATGAAAGACAGAAAAGCTCATTTGGTATGTTATTCAAAATCAGACTTTCAAAGTAACAAAAAGGTATTCTTCAAAAGACTACTTCTTACATTAATTTTCATCAAAAGCTGAGTGTTCATTATATTATAGTTCTGTGATACAGCTCTGAGAGGAATTGATGAAAACTTTGTTGATTAAAAAAGAAATTTAATACCTACTACATGTAATGCATTGAGCTGAGAGCAAGAGGTGTGCATAGTGCTCTGGCATTCACTCAGGAAGGAAGACAGGCATCAAGCAAGCACCCAGAAAGGTAAGTTTAACATTTTCAAGATGCTACCAGAGAATATATCAAGAAATTTTATCCCAGACTGAAGGGCAGGAAAACTTGCTGGAGGAAATGACATTTATGCTAAGACTTGAAAAACAAGTTTGAGTTCTCCAGACTAAGGGAATTATTTATGTAAAGACTCTATAGTGAGAAACAAGTCCAGTATGGCTTCAGGGTGATGAGCGAAGTGGACTCTTGCTGGAAAGGTTAAAGTAGACTAAATGGAAACGATGTCTTAGACTTAGTAAGACTTCACTCTTAATTGTAGGGATACTAGGAGGGAAATACAGAGTTTCTGAAGTGGGAGTTACTCACAGTTTTTGAATATATATTCTACTAGAGTAGAAAGTAGATTATACGGAACTTTTAGTGAATAGGAAGTATAAGTTATGAAGCTATTGAAATGGTTCAAAAAAGGAAAAATGGTGAGTGAGATCAGATAAAGACAATGGAACAAAGATGAGAAAACAGAAGAAAAGGGAGAGAATGAATCGGACTTGAGTGTATTTGCATATGGAAGGTGAGGGAGTGAATCATGAAATCTCCCTGAATCTTTACTTGAGAAAAATCATTTAGTATCATTCATATCAAAACCCTAATTGTGGTTATTGAGGTGGGGAATTAGATGTACACATGAGTCCTCAAAGTTGTTTATAAAATAGTTTTTTTTTGCATATATTGTTATTGCTGGACTGTAAGATGGAGGTGGGAGTATTGAATGTTGGCATTAGAAATCATTTCATAGAGTCCTATACTTTTGATCTCTGGAAGGAGAGATATTGTTAGTGCGTAGAAGTACAAACAATATAGGGTCATTTTGCTCTCCTGGATTGCTGTCTTATGCTGACTGATAAACCATCAGTGTGTCTGTGCCTAGACTATGCTATAAGATCAGATGAGTTCCAGTCAGAGGCCCTCCTGCCATAAAGACATAGTAAAGAAAAAACAACATACATACATACATAAATGGAAAGAAGACAGACTATGTTATTTGCTTTTGGTATTTAAAAATATGAGCTGAACGGTGTACAGATATAGAAATAAAGTAATAGAAAGATGATAAGGCATCTCTCAGCCAGGGGTCCACATACACATGAACTTACCCTAGAAAGTTTAAAAGAAACTCAAATGAAGAGAATACTTGTAGACTTCTGGACAAGGTTGAACAGGGAAAAGTGAGATGCCTACGCTACACAAAGCAGAAAGCAGTATTGATTCCGTGGGTGGAAGGAATTAGAGAAGAAAATAGTGTTTTTAAATCTCACTAAGGAAATGTACATATATATATATACACACAAATATATATTAGCCAGGGTTCTTCAGAGACTGTATTAGCCAGTGTTCTTCAGAGAAACAGAAGCAATAGGAAGTGTGTGTTTGTGTGTGGGTATATGTATAAACAGATTTATTTAAATAACTGGCCTATGTGATTGTACAGAATTAGTGAGTCTAATATCAGATGGGCTAGTCTGGCTGGCTGGAGACTCAAGAAAGAGATGTAACTCAAGTCCAAAGGCAGTCTGTTGGAAACCAGGATGACCCAACATTGAAGATGAGGTCTGAAGGTATTCTGCTAGCAGAATTCCCTTGTGCTTGGGGAGAGCTGTCTTTTCATCTATACAGGCCTTCAGCTGATTGGATGAGGCCCACCCACATTATGGAGGGCAATCTGCTTTCCTCAAAGTCATCCAATTTAAATGTAAATTTCATCCAAGAACAATGTTACAGAAACATCTGAAATAGCGGTTAGCCTCAGATATCTGGGCACTGTGGTCCAGCTACGTTGACACATAAGGTGAGCCACCACAAGTAGGAACTGCCCTACGGGAACTGTAGTCTTGGAGAGGCACAGCTTGCAAGATCCCTGACAGTGAAGTGAGGAAGCAATGATCCAGCCTCAGTTACCACTGAATAGTTAGGGCAAGACTACAAAGCATAGGGGCTAGGCCTGCTGCAGAGCTCTGTTTCACTCTGGGTTCTACTCAATACTTTGAGCCATACAAGTAACTTGTAGATGGGGTAGTGGTGAGTTCAGCACATGGAAAGGACCTGGCAGAAAGGTCTGCTCCTTGAGGTGCAGTTATTTGTCTTTAATTTCAGACAAGATTATACATCATGATGCAGAACACCAGCCCTTGTGTGACAGAAACTACATGGCAGGCTCTGAATCATCGTGAGTCTATCACCCACTCTCTCATGTGTCTAAGCAACTTGATATTCAGAAACTTGGCATTTCTTGCGCATTAGATTCATTCAGCATGAGGCCATCGACATTGATCCTGGGGTATATTCTGTGGAATATCAAGGTGAGCCAGACCTGTCGAGACCACATTACTAGGGTGAGGAGAGTTGACATAGTCCAAATCAAAGCAATGCAGCTCTACCGATTTTCCTTCCAAGCTAAGGTAAACTCCTTCTTTATGTTTTCAGAAATTGGATTTGAGAAGGATATATTTGCCTCAGTAATAGTTGCATACCAGATACTATGGACTGTGTTGCTTTCTTCCCATACAGTTACATCTGAAATGGCAGCCACTTTGGTTTCCCCATCTGACTCAACGTAAAATAGTTCAATGTATTTCTCCAAAAACCATCTGGCTTTTACACAGGACAAACTACCAGGTAGAACAGATAAGCAACTGGAATCATTATTCCTTCATCTTTCAAGATTTCATGATGGCATCAATCTTTGCAAACCCTCCAGAGATGCAATACCACTATGGTTCACTATTTGCGCATGCTCACTTGTGTATGTGTGAGTGGGTGTGTGGGTGTGTGTGTGTGTGTATGTTGGAGGGCCAGTCCCATAGGATTTCACTCAGCATTTGCTACTATAGTAGTACTCACACAGTAAGCCAAGAATCCAATGTGTATATTCTATAAGTTAATCTTATATCTATATATATCTATATGTATCTTATACCTATATAATATATCTATAGCAACTACACATTCAGAAACTAGGAACAAGGTATAAGTTGTGTATAAAAGCCTATTGGAGTCCCTGGGTATTTCAGATTAGCTTTTCTTTTATCATTGCTCCCCCAAAGAACCCCCATTTTGGGCAGTGAAACATGGTAGCAATATCTAACAGTCCCTAAAATATGTCAGTATTACCCCTTCCACAGTGCACAGTCACTGAAGAAAATGGTCACAGGTTCCTCAGACGAAGACTTAGAGAAATGTTTACACTATACTTCTGTATCCACATTGCAGAAACTTTATCCAGGTGACCCAGCATGGCCTCATTAATGGGACTCAGGTCTAAGAACTGGCTTAAGTTTATAAAATGGATAAGCTTCTACAAATTTCCTCTATACCAACCTGAATCAGGATTCTACCCAGCAGAATCATACAGAAAAAAGAGTACCCTAATAGGCTGCTTACTCCTTTCATTTTTTGAGAACCCATGCTCAAGCTGCCACCTTCAAAGCTCCATGTGGGTCAAAACATTCTCACTGCTACATAATCCATGTTCTCTGTGGCAGTAATTGCACCCATCTTATCTCTGATAATTAAACCTTTGAAATCAGAGATTTCAAGTCTATTGATGAAACATTTGAACATTCAGTTGTACTCTTGAACATTTTGGCTTGTATAATGTGTGAGCAAGTTGTGCTTACAAAATTTATCCTAACATGACAATTTCTTTAAATTTACTCCTTGCTTTGTATTATTCCAAGGGAATTCTGGTATGTGAATTGTATTAAAAATAGGCTATAAGCTCTAACCTTCAAAGAGATCTCAAAACAAACTGTTAGAGGTCCCTCATTTGAGCTGAAAAATTAAATTCAAAATCCAACATTAATACAACTCTATCAAAAAATTTGAACCAACCCAACCTTAAATAGTAACTTTTTCGGTTTATTTGCCTTGGAATCCATTCCTACAGTTGCTCCCCTGGCTTGTTCTGATACAAAGTAGCGTGTGCTTCCAATTCCTTTGACATCTGTTTCTCCCAGAAAACACGTTGATGTTCCCTTCTGGGGGACTCTCATTGGATCAAAAACCAAGGGTTCACACTTGGGGGTTCCAAGAGAAAATTAAGCTCCAGTGCCCTAAGGAATTTGTTGTATGTGATGAAGTAACTTACTTCCTATCCATCTATAATGGGACTAGCTATATACAATCCTTGGGGAATTTGAGAAAATAGTCACTCACATAATTTTCCATAAGGTTTAATTCTCTTGCTGGACCCTGGCTGAGAAAGCCTGCACATGGACACTTTGAAAGGAGGGGATATCTGTCCCAGGTGAAGTCATTAAACATCTCTTTGCAATCATCAGATAGGAGAGAATAGGTAGCTATCTCTGGCAACGAAGCTTCAGGGATAGTAGGTTGTTCACAATCCTGTTTTATCTGTCTGTTCAAATATGCTTATTCCAAGCCTCAAGGTTCCATTCTTTCCCAATCAGTGCTTTAACTAACATAAAACTTGTGAAGTCCTGTATTTAACTGGTTTTGCGGTATTATATTTGAGATCTGATCTTTAATCACACATGTCCTACAAATACAAGAAACAATAAAGGTTGTTTTAAAGATCATCATGGAAGTTTTCTTCTAGGAATCTCCACTTAGCAGTTCAGTGCTAGGAATTCAAGGCCCACTTTGTTGTTTTGTTGTTGTTTGGTAAACCATCCAGTGTATTCAGAGGCAACTTGTTTATATAAATGCTATTACTCACAGCATTTATTATCTCAGCTGCCATCAGGTACAATGGGCACTTCATCTCCAAAAACTTTCCCTTCCACGTCACGATGATGCAGGATTTTTTGCTCCTTAGCTCAGCGAGGTCTGGGTTCTTGTCTCACAACAAGGAAGAAGGAGGCACATAGACACTCAAATAGTGAGTGCAGTAGAATTTACTAAGTGAAAAGGAAAGCTCTCAGCTAAAGGAGGGGTCCTGAAAGCAGGTTGTTGGTTGCCCCCTCACAACTGAATACAAGGGCTTTTATATATCCAACCTGAAGGGGCTGAGTTCCTTATTTGTATAGGGTGTGAATTCCTGGTAGCTCCACCCGCCCTTCCAGGGTGCACATGGACCCTTAGTCTGAGCCACTCCATATTGATTTATTTCCCTTACTGTGTATGTGTTAAGAAATGGAATTTTCCATTGCAGGCATGTTCAGGTGAGCCCCCTCCCCCCACTCTGCAACTCCCCTTATCTGCACAAAACATCTGGTGTAAGCACTTGTGGAACAGGTAGCAGGTTCTCTGGGGGACCCTTCCCTTACTGTCTGCTTAAAGCAAGCTGGCTAGCTCCTTCTGATAAGATTAATTTGAATAATTAGGATAATACCGCCTGCTTGGGATATCAGTGTGAAGCATATATTTCCCAATCCAGTCCCAAATCCTATATTGAAGGATTGAAGGCCACTTCTAGATCAGAATACTGGCCATTAGAGTCACACAGAATACAGAGGGACTGCATACAGAATTGTGGGAAGAAGTAAGGGATGAAATCAGATCAGAGTTGGTAAAATGTAGCCCTAACAGATTGTCAACAGTGTGAATCTGTTAGCACCTCCAAGAATAAGGAGGTAAGGAAGGAAATAGTTTTGTCAGAACCCATGAGACATGAACATCTGAGTTGGTTTTGCCTACAGTTGGCTGTTTTCCTAGATGTACACAGCTAAGTATAAAATAAATGCAAAATTCCATTTCCAAGATTCTCTTCCTTGATTGTCTGGGCATGTCTCCCTTTAACCAGAAGCCAACTGAGGGCAGAGAAAGGAAGGGAAAGGTGGACATGAGATCTGGATGATCAGGTGAAGGATAACTAGCACAGTATCATATCAACTGTAGTTACTCCAATATTCTAGCAATATCTTTACCATTTATGTTAGTAGTAATAAAATATTCTTATATACTAATTAATATGAAATACAAATAAATATAAGTGAAACCATAAAATGTAAGCATTTAGAATATAAATAAGAAGTATTTATAATGTAAGTAATAAAAATATTTAATGTAGTTGAATACATAGAGTGTTCCAGGTACTTTATAAATATATGGGTGCCTAAGTAAGATTTTGTCTGTCACAGTCCTCACTAAATCTTATTTGGTATCAATTCATAACATTTTCAGAAAATAGAGTCCCCTCCGCTTTAAGGTCACACATTTGATAAGTGATGGAACAAGGACTGAAAACCACTGGATATCCAAGTCAGTGCAGGGATATAGAAACCACCTTTGAGCTGTTTTAATTCTAATATAGACAAAATGAACTTGATTATTCTTATTTTATAGATTGTGCTATCATATAAACAAAGGTAAAACTAAAATTCTCTATTCAAGGAAGAACACAGCTAATGAGCACCACAGTTAGGGAGAGAACCTGAGTCTTTGGCACCAGAGGGAGCCTCCCTTGTGTGCCCATTTCAGATCCTTCAAACAAGCTGTCTCTTTGCTGCTTCCCAGATAATTAAACTATAATTGCATGCTTTAAATTAAGTTTAAATGTATGCTTCCAGTATTTCTACTGACCAGTTTGTGTACGATCAGCCTTAAAGAATTATGCAAATATCTTGTTTAGGTTCCCTCGGTTGCAAATTACTTTTTAATTTACTTAATTATAAAGGGCATTTGTCTCTTCTAATATGCAATAATTAGGTTTAAGTGTACAGGCAAATGAATTGATTCTTGGCAATGCTTCTATAGCATATATAATTTTACATTTTAAGTTTAATTTATTTGCATATTTGATGTTTATCTGGTTTAATACATGTACATACATTGAAACATATGTGTATATATATTTATATGTATACATATGTGTCCATAGGTGCATGTGTATGTGTGCATAGGTCTGTGTATATACTCAACCCATATCTGTTACTAAATGTATTAAACATTTTCTTAAAAGGGAAATACCTTGGGCCACCATCAGAAGTCTATGTCTACCTTATCTTTTTCAGGAAGCAACAGATCTATGCTGCTTCCTCAATCTCTGCTGATGGCCTGTCTTTGATTCCCTTTGAGCTAGACATCACAACTGACTGCCTCTGCCACTGTATTGAGACATATCATCCTCTAAATCAAATAATTACTAATTTGGTCTGCACAAATCTCTGCACATGTGTAGAGCACATAAACACTACTTCCTAGGTTGATTTGTAAGAGAGAACTCAGGTGTGAAAATAGCAATCCCGAGGCAATGGATGATGAGCCTGAGGGTGGAAGCGGCGCTCCCTGCTCACACCCTGTCTCTGTGCTTACCTGCACTCTCTGAAGTGAGGGGCCCTTCAGGCAGCCACTAGCAAATCTGTTATGCTCATTTCCTGATTGATAGAGCAAAATGACGACCTTTTTCTTCATTTAAGATTAAATCTCACCTTTCCTTTTTTTAATATTTCAAATATATAAGAAAAATTGTTTACAATTTATCTCACTTTTATAAGCTCCTGATGATGATTATTAATTCAAACATCTAAAACACAATTAAGGTGGTTCTGAGAATGAATGTTTGACTCATTCAGTCTGTCTGTCCACATTTCTTCACTGAGCATGTATGAAGTTACTGGGATAAATTGGTGAAGAAAGAGATGAAATTGTTCCCCTCGTGGAGCTCATAATACAGTTGGGGAAAAACAACTATTGAGAAAATGAGAGGTATAACACACAAATGCTAAAAATTAACATGTGCTACAGAGATAAAGCAGAGATGGAGATAAGAGGCAGGTGTTGCAGCAATAAATAAGGTGGTCAGGTAAGAACTTAACCAGGAGGTGTCATTTTAGTAGAAATTGAAGGAGATGAGCGAGTGAGACATTTGCATATATGTAGGAAGAGTATTTTAGGCAGAGGAAGCAGCTAGAGCCGCATCCCTGCAAGAGAAGCACACCAGTGTATTTAGGGACAGCAGGAAATCTCCAGAAACTGAGGGCCATAAAACAGCAAGGAACTCACAGGACATGGGGTTAGAGAGCAAAAGGGTGTTAGATAGGGATGGGGCATGTCTCGCTGGGCAGATGGAAGCTGAAAGAGAAACTGAGCAGAAGCAATAAGTGACATGAAAACCAGCACTGGCTCAAAAGTTCTTCATCCTTGATTCTGCGTAACCCGTGAAAGCAATGTCTGTCCCTGTTTTGTGAAAACATATGTGGTGGAGAGATTAGCGTGCCTGGCTCAGGGTACATCTTCAATAAATAGTCATTGACTGACTGACTTTGCTTTATTTTCATTAAGTAAAACTAAAGTTGAACATAAGCAGAAAGATATTTAAAAAATGAAATATGTTGTCATATTCAAAATATGCCAAGGTTTAAGATTTCAGTAGAAATATTTGCATCCCACTGTGAAAATTGGGCATATGTTGGTAAAAGATCAAACTTCTATTGTTATCTTATGAAATTCCAATTCTTCTGCATCCCCAAGACAGTTTAAATCAAAGCTGAAGCAAATCACCAGTGCTTCCAGGTTTGTAGTTATAACTTGGTTTTTTATTACAATTTAATAGTAAATTAAATTTACTATTATACAATGTGATAATAGTTCCTTGTTTTATAATATTTGAATTCCCACAATTATGAAGTTTATGTAGGGAAGAAAAATTGTCTTAACCAGATCATTTCCACTAACAAATTAATAAAATTAGTCACTAATCACACCTCACACACCACTTAACACTAACATCTTTGCTATGCTGTCATGGTAATGGGAATTGTAATTAGTATATTGAAAATACAAATTTTGAATTTCAATGTTTCTATCTTGGTCTGTGAAGACAAAGGAAGTGTTGAAAAGAAAAAAAAGAATTACATTTAAAGCTATTGACAATCAGTATCTTCCAATGTGAGACCAACTGACAATTGAAGAAAAAAAGAAAATGAAGCCTTAAAAGAAAATGACAAATAACATGGCTGGCATTGTGGCTTATGCCTGTAATCCTAGCACGTGGGAGACAGGAGGATTGCCTGAGGCCAGAAGTATGAGACCAGACTGGACAACAGAGTAAGACCCCAGTCCCTACACAAAATTTAAACATTAGCCGAGAGTGGTGGTGCACACCCATGTAGTCCTAGCTACTTTGGATGCTAAGGTGGGAGGATCCCTTGAGCCCAGAGGTTTGAGGCTGCGGTGAGCTAGGATTGTGCCACCGCACTCCAGTCTGGGTAACACAGTGAGACCCTGTCTCCGAAAATAATAAAATTAAAAGACAATGATGTATACATCAGAGATTAATTTAGAAACTTGAGAAAATTGATAAAGCCTTCCAATATTCTTTTTCAAAAATGGCAACCTTTATGATGATACTAAAAGTCAAATATGAATTAAAACATGCCATATTATATCATCATACATTTTACCTTTATGTAAAACATCACTTGAGTGACTTTTTGATTGGTTTGGCATTTGGTTGAAACAAATCATTGGTAAAAATGATTTAAAATGTTCTTTACAATTTTTAGTTTTATTTCTAGGGAAAAACATACAAGCCATTTGTATATTATCTTCTCTAAAATGTTAGTCTTCGTTTTAAGTTAAATTACTTAAGAAGCCGTTTTTTTCCTGTTCTGATTATTCTTACTTTCAGCTATTAATAATTTCCTGTACATTATTTAGATAAAATAAATCATTTAATAATATTTTATTCTCAAATATAATTGTACTTTTGTCAATCATTTTCTTTCACAATGAGTGAACTATTGTTTATAAAACTATTGCATATAGACCTCTGATTATCCCAAGGAAGGGAAAAAAACCCTTATTGAGTCCCAAAGTATATTTTGCCAATTATTATTATATCATTAAATTACCAAAAAAAGAAAACAATAAGGGGCATGGATGAGGCTTAGAGACTTTTAAGTAACTTATAGCAATTTGTAAAGCTGGTAAGAAACAAAGTCATTATTTAGACTCATGGTTGTCTCTCACAAATTTTCTTATTTTCATCATATTAATACATGTTCAACTGGCAACTGTTTTCCCTTGAAATCTATGTCGTTTTGTGTGTGGAAAAAGAAGTCAAATATTTAAATCTGGTTTTACAGGAATATTAAGTTAAGTTTTTATACTTAGGATAATGGATTAACATGAAGGAATACAAGTTTACTCATATATTTCATAGCCACTATGACCAACCTCAAAATTAATCATAGATTCATAATTTGTAATTAGTTTTCCTTTTTGTAATATGGAAATGTAATGGTTTTGTGTCTCAAAAGACTTGTTAAAGCTCAACTAACCAACTAAGTGACAAATATGTTTTGAGTGTTATGTGGCCACATTGTGTCTAGTACTTTATAATATTTTTTTAAAGAAATGCTTGTTCTCAAGGAACTTACAAGAAAATTGAGAACATACATACATATAAAAAGTTAGTAAATATAAAATAGCGTTATTCAAGGCTAACTGAATTGTTAAATTATCTTTCTTTTACTCAAAGAAACATTGAAATTCCTTTAATAAAAGTTTTTGTTATAAATTTAAATGTTGTGGTAATTTATTTCTTACTATCATCTTGAAATCTTTTTTTTTTGCCAAAGAATACTAACTAAAAAGTAGGTTTGCTTCAAAGTTTGAACTTTGACAAATGATAGTCTTTCACAGTAAGTTAAAAAAAAAATAGCAGCTAGGTTTTGTTTTGATTCTAAAACAAATATGTCTAGTCATAAGAGAAGAAATGATTATACCCCATGGAACTATCCATATGTCCTTCTGGCACTTGCAGGTTTAGAAAAACGAATGAAACAACCAATAAGCTAATGAATAAAATGTGTAGGAAATAGCATTGCACAATGTTGACAAATGTAAATTTCTACAGTCCTGACTAGAAATTGGCACATGACAGAGCCATCAAAATTAAGTGCCAGGAGCTCAGTACAAAAAGGCTTCAAGATGTTTAACTATAGGCATATTTAGTTTTCTAATTCAGCCAAATTTCTACACATGCTGGAGACTTTTGTAGTAGAGGAACATTCAGCTGTATGTTTTGACATCCAACTTGGCATCTCTGAAAGTCAAGCTCTGAAAGCTACAGTACAGAAAGAAAAGCTAGAGATCAGATTTTCATGATTTTTTATGAAAGATGTTTAATGGTCTTGATGTGACTCCAGCTCTAAAATGTTACTGGCAGAAAATATCACAAATTATCCAGCTTTCCTTTGAAAAGCCACATGGAAACTGAAGCTATTTTCCATATTTTTCTTTAATTTTGTAAATGGAAAGCTTAATGACCCCATGCTCTGCATGACTTTGGCAAACAGATGTTGATACAAAACAATAATGCAAAAATAACATAAATATTAAACCATAGGTTCTTGCTGTCTTGATCTGCATCTGCATTTATAAAATGTGTTTTTAGGTGAAAACAAATATTAAACACATTACAAAGAAAAATTGGTTGATTTTCAGTGGCTGGCTCAATCGAAATTGAACTGTTTATTTCTCAAACTTATTATAGACTCAATAATACTTCTCTATATCACTTACTATATGGTATTTAAACTTATGAATAAGTTTAATATCATAGATAAATGTATTCATAAGTTTAAATCCTTATGAATAATATGGATACACTTATAAGGTATTTAAACTTAGGTATCACAAACATAAAATATTTAAACTTATGGATAGGCACAGGCATTCTTTGAAAGTATGAAAACCATCATTTCCTTCCCTTCATATCAATAAAAATATAGCACACAAAATCAGTTTCTGTTTGTGATTTTTGTTGTTGTTTCTTTTGTAGACATGATGTCTTACTATGTTGCCCAGACTGGTCTCAAACTCCTAGTTCCAAGTGACCTCCCACCTCAGCTTCCCAAAGTTCTGGGATGATAGGCATGAGCCATCATGCCCAGCCACTGCTGTATTTTTAAACATTCAGATGTAATCTCTGCTTTCTTAATTACAAATACTCTTGTCATTGATAGAATATGACAGATAAAATATACTTGTGATTAGATGTTTGTTGCCAAAATTACAAAGTTTGTGTGAACATCAACTTTTTCTTTTTTTTTTCCATATCCTATTGGTTCTCCAATACTTGTCCATATTATCACTAGAGAGAGGTCACATCTAAACTCTTGTTATTATAAGCCAGTGAAGGAAACTGGTAAGAAAATATGCCTTTTCAACAGTGAGATGCAACAGTTGATGATTACATTTCCATAAGCTCCTATAAATCCTAGAGAAAACCAGTTGTTTTAAAAGCATGTTTATGAATATCCATCAGAATATTTTTTAACACTATTTAGGGTACTATGATGAATATAACTGATTTAAAACCAAAATCTATAGTTGTTTTGATTTCTACAGTTCAATTTTTATTTGCTCTTTATTCAGAATAGTAATGGTTACAATTAAAAATCCTTATGCATAGCTTGTTAACCATAAATTCAGCCTTCCTTTAGAGATTTGTATATACTAAAAGTACAGGATAAATGATCTGCTATGAAATGCTTTTCCTTGAGAGCACGCACTGTGTGTGAATCATGATAAAGAATTCAGCACCAGTGGCACCAGTGATAACAAATGACATGGGTTGATAATATTTTGGAGCATTTGAAAATTTATCTTTATACATTAAATGTTAAAAACAGAAAGCATCCATTATGTATAACAAACACATATGGGGTATTTATTCAGCTTCTGATTCAGTTCAATGGTTTGCTTTTTGGGCTTTGAAATTATAGAAAGAATTCCGGAAGACCAGCACAATTACACGCATAACTCACGTGGCTTTACATTATTGTGTTATATACATGGTGTGTGTATGGATTTCTCCACAATGAGTTTTGAAAGAGCATTGAAGCATGTGCTTAGACTACTTCTAAGTTCTAATGTATGAGAATTGTGAACCTAGAAAACTTTCCCAGTATGAACCTCTTTATCTTAATATTTATAATATAAGAATTATTCCAGATCTGCCTACCATAATCTTTGGAAGCAAATTCTGTTTTTAAAACATCTATTTATCTTTCTCCTCCACCAATATTTCACCTTTCTTACTCACTCTATACTGTTTTCTGCCCTTCTATTTCCTTCAAAATCTCTAATTCTCTTGGAGCTTCAGGTTTTGTTTCTGAGAAAATTACAAGAGTTGAAATTCCCAGAAAGGGGTTTTTTGCTGTTGTTGTTGTCATTTGTTTTTTCGAATGATATCTCACTATGTTGTCCAGGGTGGTCTTGGACTTCTGGGCTCAAGGAATCCTCCTGACTCAGTCTCTTGAGTAGCTGGGATTACAGGCGTGAACCATCACACCTGACTAGAATGTATTTTTATATAGCATTCATGAATTTTCCCTTTTTAATAAGATAGTTTATTTGAACAAGATGACTGGGTTCTCCAGCTGTGCTGTGTGTTTTTTTGTTCATTATTCATTACCATCGAAAAAAGGTGTACAGCGAGATCCTAAGTACAGGGCACACCAACTGTTTTCTAGATGTATTAGATGATGTAAAAGTGAGATCCTGCCAGGAATGTATGTTATTGCATGACACTAATATAGTTAGCTAAATTTTTTAACTATATTGGAAAGAGTCATTTAGGATAGCACTGCTCATCCTATATTCAAATTAACATTGCAGACCTTGAGAAGATATTTTTAAAAGAAAGGAAGTTATCCTTCAGACTGAGTAAACCTGAAGTAAAATAGGAAATATGTGTGACTGCCAGTTTTGAGAGACATGCGAAATACATAGTTGTTTCTAGTATTTTCCCCACTAAAAGGCAAATGCTGATTTTTGACGAATCTACTTTTCTGATTGGCAACTACATGCATCATTCTTCCGGTCATGAAATCATGTACCTGTTCATTGTGAGGTGTTTAGAATTCTGTGAACAATGCTAGTAGGACCACTCGTTTCTAACATGAGAGAATGTGCCTGGCTGCTTTGGACACCATCTTGCTTGGACATGCACATGTGAGCAGAGGTTACCTAAATTCCGTTGCTGGTTTCAATATGGACTCCTCTCTAGCACTTTTCTATTTAAGTAACTGAAATTTAATGACCTAGAGGAAACAGAGGCAGTTGAATTAAAAGATTTGTAACTATGCACAGTCAATTATGACCTCTGCTGTTAGCTATGGCTCACTAAAGGCTGATTATTTTCATTTATATGTTCTGCAAACACTTTAACTTCAGAGTAATTAAAACCTAAACTTCAAATTTTTCCGGAAAACCAGGACTCTTTCCAACTGTCCCATTTTTTAAAACTAATGGTGGCAAAATTAAACCACCTGTCCAAAGCTAAAAGACAGTTATAACTTATCAAGCCCTACAAATATGTGTTAATGCCAGCCATTTTTTTCCATAAGTTACCAGCATTCTCCAGAATTTCATCAGCAAGAATGGAGTGAGAAGTTTATAAGTGGTTTTTCTTCACTAATCTTTATCACTCCCATACATTTAATCTGCAAATTAAAGTGTATTTGTGTACAGTTTCCATGCATAATTTTTTCAGTACTTATAAAATAATGTTTAAATGGTGTGACTAAGCTTTATGAGATCTTGAGCCTTTCTAGTCTATAATACCTACAAACTGCATGTTTATTTTCTTCAATTCCCCAATATAATCCATTTTTAAAATAGTTGATTTGGCTCAAGCATTTTTCCACAAACAAGTCTTCATCTGAGCTCCTGGACTTTTGTTTCTACCATCTCTTCTACTCTTCTCCATTTTTCAGGATCTCTTTATTCTTTAAGATACAGGCACACGAGCATATTTCTCACATGAAGACTTGTAACATACCCAGTCAATTCTTCCTTCCCTAAATAATGGCAAAATACATGGCCCTCATTATTTACTACCAACACTACAAGATAGCACATATTTTTAATTTTCTGAATAGTACTGATATGGTTTGGTTTTGTTCCCACCCAAAATCTCATCTTGAATTGTAATCTCCATAATCCCCGCTTATCAAGGGTGGGACCAAGGATGGAGGTAATTGGATCATGGGGGCAGTTTACCCACTGCTGCTCTTGTGATGGTGAGCGAATCTCAGGAGATCTGATGGTTTCATAAGTATCTGGCATTTCCCCTGCTTATGTTGCAGAATTTTCTCATTAGTTCAGCTGAAAATGGGGTCCTTGTCACACGACCATGAAATATTAGGCATGCAGACACTTCAAAGGGTGAGAGAAATAGAACTTATTGGGCAAAAGGGGGAAAAAAGGGAAACAGGGACCCTCAGCAGAGCGAGAGTCCTGCTAGTATAGGCTTCCCACCTTGCAGATTGAATTCCAGGTTCCACCCCAGAACAGGAGAGGCTATCCCTGCTGCAAACAATGCAAACTTTCCGAGGCTCCGCTCCAGTGTGCATTCCTCCCAGTGCTCAGATTGGTTGGAGGTTCTCTGGTCACCCTTTATACTTGGTTGTCTCACTTGCACTCACTCTTCCCTGCCGCCCTGCGAAGAAGGTCCTGCTTCTCCTTGGCCTTCCACCATGATTGTAAGTTTCCTGAAGCCTCCCCAGCAATGCAGAACCATGAATCAATTAAACCTCCTTCCTTTATACATTACCCAGTCTCGGGCAGTTCTTTATAGCAGCGTGAGAACGAGCTAATACAAATATGTATATTTAGATGTATTTCAAAATACATTTAAACACCTTGAGGGTGAAGGTTGTGTTGTGTATTTCCTTTAGATGAGTATGTGGCTGAATTAGCCTTTCTTGCATCACTATATTAGTTTGCTAGGGACATCACAACAAAGAAGCACAAACTGGATGGCTTAAAAACCATAAAATCATGGTCTCCCAGTTCCAGAGGCTACAAGCCCAAGAACAAGGTGTTGTCAGGTTTGGTTCCTGTGAGAGGGAATCAATTTCATGCCTTTCTCCTAGCTTCTGCTGGTCTGCTGCCAACCTACAGCATTCCTTGCCCTATGGAAGCATCACCCTGAATCTACACATGGTGTTCTCCTTGTGTGCATGTTTGTATTGAATTCTCAATTTTAAAAATATATATTATTATTATTTTATTTTGAGACAGAGTTTCGCTCCTGTTGTCCAGGCTGGAGTGCAGTGGCGCAATCTCGGCTCACTGCGACCTCCGCCTCCTGGGTTCAAGCAGTTCTCCTGCCTCAGCCTCCCAAGTATCTGGGATTACAAGCACCCATCACCACGCCCAGCTAATTTTTATATTTTTAGTAGAGATGAGGTTTTGCCATGTTGGCCAGGCTGGTCTCGAACTCCTGCCCTCAGGTGATCCACTCTCCTTGGCCTCCCAAAGAGCTGAGATTATAGGCATGAGCCACTACGCCTAGCCAATTCTCTTTCTTTATAAGAACGCAAGTCAGATTAAATTAAGAGCCCATCCTAGCACTGTGTGACCTCCTCTAACCTTACCTAATTATATCTGCAATTACTCTATCACCAGTTAATGTAATTCTGAGATACCAGAAGTTAGGATTTCAACATATGAATGAGTAGCAGACACAATTCAGCTCATGACAGTAGCAAACCATACAAAATTTCGGGGCTTAAAACAACAACCATTTACTTAACTAGAGATTCTGTGAGTCAGCAGTTTTGGCTAGGTTCAGCTGGATGGTTCTCTTGGCCTCAGCTGAGCTCATTCATTCATCTGTTCAGCAGTCAGCAACACAGCTCTGTTTTGGGAGCTGGCTGGCTGTCAGCTGGTGAAATGAGGGCAACTGAGCCACAGGTCTTCAGTCATCCAACGAGTTCACCCACAATTTTTCTAATGGCAACTGAGCAAATTTTTAAAAGTAAGAGCAAAACTGTGAAAGGCCTTTTGAGGTCTGGCTTGGAACTTCCACAGTGTCATTTCTGCCAAAGCAAGCCACAAAGCCAGACCAAATCCAAGGGTAGGGAAAATAGATTACACCTATTTCGGAAGGAGCTGCAGAGTCACACTATGAAAGGGCATAGAGAGAAAAAAAAAAATCTCAGTTAATTCTTGCAAACCTTTTATCAAATAACTAAAGCCTCCCACAGTCCTGTCTCTGAAAAAATGTCATGCATGATGTAATATGATGTTATTTCTCTCTTTTCAATCCAGAGGTAACATGTAAAACTATGATAAACTTAGGCATAATATCCCTAAGCCATCTGAATTCCAAATATGGCCTCATTTCTCTGGTATAATTTATACTTGTCCAGTAGAAAAAAATGGAAATGGAAATGAAAAAGACCTCAGGATATAGAACTAGGATGCATCAAAGCATGATGGTGTAGGTATAAATGTGTGGCAGAGGAAATCAAGAAAAGTGAGGGAAATTGCAAAAGAGAATAAAATTTTAGGACTCTTTAAATGTATTATGTCAAGGGATAAGTTAAGCCCTTTAGATTGAATCATGTAACATTTTTACAACTTCTGCTTCTAAAGTTATAGATTAACTCTCTTCCTCATTGTTTTTATTCTATAAATGACCAGGAGAGACCAGAGATCAGACCTGCGCCATTTCCAGTCACTGAAATTTATTGTAAATTAACTTCCTCTTTATTGCCATTTACCAAGCTCAGATGTGAGGATGCCCAAGACCCATGACTATTACATCTTCAACATAAAAAACTAAATATGGATTTCCCCCAAAAAAAGACCACCTCCTAACCAGACCATTATAACTATGCATTGAGCCTGATAGTAAAAAATTAAAATTCTATTAAATTTTCCTAAGCTTTGTCTATATAAACAATCTCAAACAACTATACTTAGAAAATGCTGACTTCCATTCTTTAAAATCTATACTTCCCAGGTGGCTGTCCTCAATCTTTACACTTAAATAAACTCTTTAAGGGCTGGGTACAGTGGCTTACACCTGTAATGCCAGCACTTTGAGAGGCTGAGGCTGGAGGAACACTTGAGCTCAGGAGTTTAAGACCAGCCTGGGCAACAAAGTGAGACCTCATCTCTGTTAAAATGTTTAAAAAAATCTAGCTGGACGTGGTGGCTTGCACCTGTAGCCCCAGATACTCAGGTAGTCTGAAGTGGGAGGATCACTTGAGCCCAGGAGGTCAAGGCTGTAGTAAGCTTTGATCAAGCCACTGCACCCCAACCTGGGCAACAGAGAGAGATCCTGCCCAAATAAATAAATAAATATAAATAACAGGTCATGCCACTGCACTCCAGCCTGGGTGACAGAGTGAGACCCTATCTCAATAAATAAATGAATAAATAAATACACTCTTTAAGCTAGATTCTGGCCCTTTTAATGATTTTTAAGTTAACAGAATAAACATCCCATGGAGGCATATCTGACAGCCGATTCATGTAAAAGAAAAAAAGACCTATAACTGATTCATTAATAACAAAATGCCTGCAGAAAATAATGCATTTATACAGAATAATTTCTTTGTAAAATCTAGAAGTGGAGCCTATTGCCAAAATTTCATTGTGTTTATATAGCATGATACAGGGGAGATATGATAATTCTGAAAAACAGAAGGAAATTTCATACTCAGCAGACAGGGTGATTTATTAAGCTTCTCCATGGCCTAAATTAAGTGTTTATCAAATCCATAGTACTCCTATTACTGTTTCTATACCTACTAAATGATCTTCTGATTATGATGTGGCCACTCAGGCTCTTTGCTACCTGGTAGGAGGATCACTTATATGTTGGCATGGGTATCTATGGGTATACATAAAATTTATATATCTCTTGTGATGTGAAATGTGATGTTATGATATATACATAAAGATCAAGATAGAGAGGACATACACATAGACATAGATATATGTATAGATATTTGTTTGTGCAAGTCAGTGCCTAAGCAGTTTATTCACTCTGAGGTCACAAATGAAGCTGAATTTCTGATCTTGGGAAGCAGTTGCTGAGGCTCTGGTCCCCATCAAATGAAATAATCAAGTAACAGATACCTGTTAGTTCCAACTCAGGGAACCAACTTCTCTAAGTAATGGCTGGCTCATCTCTTTTTAATAAAAAAAAAAGTATAAAACTGGCATATTATTTATCTTATGTTCTTTTTGAAAAATATTAATTGAACATTTACATATTCTCTTAATGAACATTCCCCAAATTAACACCCCACATTATTTTAATAAAAAATGATGAGATAACTTATATATTATATAATTTGTATGACCATGTACATTTATTGATAAAATGAGCCCCATAAATTATGGTAGCGTATATTTGCTCTATGTCAATGTTAGTCTATGATTCTTTTTTTTTTTTTTTTTGAGACAAGACGGAGTCTCACTCTATTGCCCAGGCTGGAGTGCAGTGGCGCGATCTCAGCTCACTGCAATCTCTGCCTCCCAGGTTCACGCCATTCTCCTGCCTCAGCCTCCTGAGTAGCTGGGACTACAGGCGCCCACCGCCACGCCCAGCTAATTTTCTGTAATTTCAGTAGAGATGGGGTTTCACCGTGTTAGCCAGGATGGTCTCAATCTCCTGACCTTGTGATCCGCCCCCCTCAGCCTCCCAAAGTGCTGGAATTATAGGTGTGAGCCACTGTGCCCAGCCCTAGTCTATGATTCTTTTAATTTACTTTTGCCACATGCTTTTAAATTTCACAAAAGTTGGAAATATAGAAAGGTTCAAATTTTATTTTGCTATTCTTCAGTTAATTTCAACAACATAATGTTCTGTCAAGAGACCTCAAAGATTTTTCTGGAGGTTGAATTTAGAGATAATGGTTACAAGGAAATATAACCCAAAGCAATAAAATATGGCCATTGATTGCTGCAAAGTGACAGCTGCTGGACAAGCCATGCTGACTCTCAACAGAGATATATTAGCTTTAAAAAAAAAAAAAAAAAGCATGAGAGACTGAAGTAAAGTGACAGAGTTTCCCATGGAGAAAAGACCTAAAAGCACTGGTGACAGCAGTCTTGGTTATCTGCAAAAAGTTCCAATTCTTCAGGGAGAGATTTACAGTCCTGTATGTTTACAAATCCACAGAGAGAGCTGAAACTGTGACTCTGGGAATACCAAAGACGCTTGCATACTGCATGGTTATTTGCAGCCAAAGAAGATGGTGGTGGTTATTCGTTCCAGAGTTGTAGCCAAAGGTGCTGACTTCTAACTTTAGCCCTTTATCTCACAGTCAATACTAAATGTTAATAGTATCATTGGTTCCTTACAATTGTATGTTTTTGTCTTCATGCCGTAAGTGCTAATTTGTAATTTTATTGAAGACAAGAACCACATTTTGTTTATATATTTAGGCTGGTGGTGTCAATAATCCAGGACTTGAAATCAAATAGATGTAGCTGGAAATCTGGGATCTGTTTCTCTCTCGCTCTGACCTTGAGAAAGTCGACAAGTTGTCAAGTGATCAGTTTCCTCATATGTAAAATAATAATCACATCAAAATATTATTTAGATAAATATATGAAATTATATTTGCCAAAATTATTTTGCAAAACAGTATAATGCTATAGAATCTTATTACACAGCACCAAACATTTAGTTTCCTGTAAATAATAAGCAGTAAAGCTAGACAAATCACTGAAAATGTCTTTTTCCCAAAAGAAGTAACTATCTTGTGTGAAACCACTGCTCATCAAGTAAATAGAAGTTGGTGGTGTTTTCAGATAGTTTATATAGTATTTTAGATTGTACTATGGTAGTTTTTTCACATTAATTTTCTCTAGTGTTGCTCATATTATTTCATGTCTTTATAAATCACTTATTTGACTATGCTTTTTTGTTTCTGTGTTACATATATACTTAGCACTGAGCCACCTGAGTTCCACACTGCAATAAGTATACTTTCTGTACTGGTATCGATAGAAAGTATTCTGTTTGTCTTCTTTGTGCAAAAATAATAATAATAATAACAAAAGCATGACAGATTTTTGACAAATTTAATGGATATGTTTGGGATTAACTAATTTAAAATATGAGCTATATGGTATTCAAAAATTTGCTTTGGAAGATCCGAAGGGACACCCTGTTTTGAATAGGTGCAGGTGTCTATTCACAATTTTGTGCAATTATAATCTACAATTCTGTATAAGGTGTCCTGGGACGTATGGCAGCATGAATTTATTTTTTAACAATAGTTATCTATCTGAAACAATGCAGGAGAACCCACCTGGTTTATAATATAGAATAGCATTAGGGAATGCAAACATTCTCACCCACAGCATATTATTTGGAACTATCAATGACAATAGTGTGCTAGATTAATGCTATATAATAATTTAACTGCTCAAAAATGTACAAATGACCCATTTACTACGAAGCATTAACTACCCACACTATTCTTTCAAAATCATGACATTTTGTAAGGTTTTATAATATAAAGAATGTATATTACATACAAATGCTAGTTAACATTTTGCATTGTATTTAAAGATGACTTTGGATAGAGAATTCTGGACGATGTATGAGTAGAAAGCACCAGTAATCTGTTTCTCCACCTAGACAACAATTGCATAGGCACAATCCGTCCAATGCAACTATTTTGGAACTCTGGAGTCTCTTGAAGGCTTTCAACATCCAAGACAAGTCTTGGACAGAAAATTTTGGTTAGTATCAGGCAATTTTAGCTCTGAACGCAGTGGTCACCCATCCCTCACTCATCAGCCCCAGGACAGGCAGTCGTGTATGTGTTCCTGGAGTAGGTTGCACAAACATGTGGGAGCCAGGATGGGAAAAAAGAAATCTGTTCTCCAAATATCAGGAATATGTGCTGTAAGTAACTGCTTCTGATCACAGAGGTTCAGACACAGAGATAGCAACCACTGTTGTCTCAACCCTAGCCTCCTGTGTTGTATGGCTGAAGTGACTTCCCAACAATTTAAAAGGTCGGCATCCTTTCTATTCTCCCTTCATTTCTCTCTCTTTCTGTTTTGGAAGGCAGCCAAACATTGAATACTAGGACATCAACATACAGGGGAAACTAGTAGTCATGTCGCATGCCCAGGGAAAGCCTTGGCAAACATCTGAGAAGACCTCAAGTTTATACCTCAGGCTGATGCTCAGCATGGAGACTGACTACAACAAAAACAAAACAAAGAAATCATCAAACTCTGAGGAGGAGGAAGAATCTAGTTTTCAGAGTTACCATATTATTTGATTCAAATATACAGTTTTCAACAACAAAAGAAAATCACAAAGCAAAAAAAAAAAAAAAAAAAGAAAAAGAAAAACATGGCCCATCTAAAGGGAAAAAAAATCAACAGAAACTATATCAAAAAAAGACCTTTTGATGGATCTACTGGGCAAAGACTTTAAAACAAGTGCCTTAAAGATACTCAAAGAACTAAAAGAAGATGTGAAGAAGAAAATGATGAACACAATGGAATATAATAGAGGGATAGAAAACTAATAAAAAATTCACTAGAGAAATTCAAAGGCTGAATTGAGCAGGTGAAAGAAATAATCAGCAACTTAAAGATAGGACAATGGAAATTATTAAATCTGAGAAATGGAAAGTAATAAGATTAAAGAAAAAAATGAACAGAAATTTACAGACCTGTGGGACACCATCAAACAAACTAATTACACAATGTGTTAGAAGAGTAAAAAACAGAAGAGGAGAAAATATTCAAGAAATAATGGCCAAAATTGATGGAAAAAAATGCATATAGACATTCAGGAAACTGAATAAACATCAACTAGGGTAAACCTAAAGAGACCCATACCAAGAGATATTATAATCAAACTATTAAAAGACAAAGAGATAAATGTAAAAGTAGCAGAGGAGAAGCTACTCATCACAATACGATTGGGATCCTTAATAAGATTATCAGCAGGTTTTTCATTAGAAACTTTGGAGGCCAGAAGGCAATGAACCAGTACATTTAAATTTCTAAAAGAAAAAAAATACTGTCAACTAAGAATTCTATATCTAGCAAAACTGTTTTTTTAAAGTGAAGGAGAAATGAAGACATCCTCAGATAAACAAAACCTAAGAGAGATGGTTATCACAATACCCTGTTTTTCAAAAATTGCTAAAAACAGGCCTACAATTTGAAATACAGGGACACTATTCAGTAAGTCAAGGCAGTATGAAGAAATAAAGATCTCAGTAATGGTAAATATAGATATGTGGGCAATTATTAAAAGGTAGTATTATTATAACAATAATGCATAACTCTACTTTTTGTTTTCTGCATAATTTAAGGGACTAAGTCATTAAAATTATTAGTCATATTTGAACACATGGTGTATAAGGATGTAACTCTGTGACCTTAATGACAAAGGGATGGGACAAAACTGCTTAAGGAACAGAGTTTTTGTCAAAATGTGGAATATACATACAATAGAATATTATTCAGCTTTTCAAAGGAAACAAAATTCGGACATCTTTTACACCACAGCTGAAATTTGAGGACATAAGGCTAAGTGACATAAGGTAGTCACAAAAAGACAAATACTGTATGATTCTACTTATGTGAGACACTTAGAGTAGTCAAAATCATAGATACAGAATGTAGAATGGCAGCTTCCAGGGGCTAAAGGGAGGATAAAATGGAAATTATTGTTTAATGAGTATAGAGTTTCAGTTTTGCAAGAAGAAAAGAGTTATGGAGATACAGTGTATTGATGATTTCACAACAATGCTGATGTATGCTATACTATTGAAATATAAGCTTAAACATGACCAAAATGATAAAGTTGCATTGTATGTATCTTACCGCAATGAAAACACTGGAAAAAAAAAACTTTGAATAGACTTCTGCGGAGCAGCATGAATTAAAAGCACAGATATAATTCTCAATCTTTTCCTAAAGCCTAAAGTAGTCTTGAAGTTCATCTATATTCTTTGTTCCATGATTACCACAGCTTTTTAATTTAATTTTTCTAAGAATGACATGTAGGATTTCCAAAATACTGGAAAAAATATATAGTTTTGTGTACATTATAAATGAAATAAGCAAATCTTTTAGAACTTAGCCTTTTTTAGCATGAGTCAATCTTTCAGAATCATATTATCAAAAAAATGAGTTTCTATTCTCTGTCTGGCTCTTCATGAGGCCCCACCTGATATAGGAAGACATTGCTGGTATTTATACTCATAAAATGGTTTGCATATTGATTTTCTATATGCAATGTGCATGAGAATGGATGTTGTGCTATTAGCAATGGGTGTATTTATAAACTTGTTTTTGTTTCGTTGTTGTTGCTATTGAGTTGTTTTGGTTTTTTTTTTTTTGAGATGTTTTTGAATTATATACTCAGAACATAGTTTCAAAAGAGTGTTGGAAGTGGTAGCAGTTTCTTGTTTCTAACAAATAATGCCACCATTCATGTCCAAAGATAACTGATTATCTTGAGTAGCTTATTTGGAAAAGTGTTTAAGATAACATTACAATATAATGTAAATCATAGTGATATATATAGCATACATCATGAACAAATTCTACCTTTACTCCTCTAAAAAAGAGAGAGGGATAGCACAAGCTACTATAATTTGAATCTCTCCACATACTCACCTGCAACCTTACAGTTTAACAAGAAAACTACTTTAAAATTTCCCATAATTAACAACTTTAGCATATCTAGGAGATAGAGAAGACTGCAGACTTCCATTTCTATGTGAGTGGATAAATATTTTCAGGAGACCTGATGGCAGAGAAGAAAATTGACAAGTGCTTCATGAAGTAAAGGAAAGTATGTTAGTTTCTAATGCTAACAAAAAACAGATTGCATTTTCTAGTTTTTAATTCACACTGATTATGCTTTAATCTGAGAGAATCTATGAAGAATTGGAATGAGACCAGCTGGACCAGAATATTAGCTACTGGTAGTAGATGCTATGATATGGAAAGATTAACATTAAAACAGTATTAATTACTAATAAAAGAAGGTTGTGAAAGGAGGAAGAAGAGGAGAAGAAAACATACCACTTAATTATTACTAATAAAGCAAAAGAGAGTATCCAGAAACCTGTGCCTACTCATAAATTATAAAGGTATTGGTTTAAAAATAATCTCTTGAACAACAATACTTTTTAAAAGTAAAAGAAACAAAAAGAAACAAGGAATGTTACCTGGTAAATGAAATATAAAAGAATATGGCAGAACTGGATGAAATGAATTGGTCTTAAGAATAAATATAAATGTGCTTAAGGCATATATTTTAAAAGTGTAATTAAAAGGTGAGCTTATCCAATTTAATCAAAAGCTAAAAAAAAAAAACAGAAAAGGAGAAGAAACATGAAGACAGATACATACAATAAAATATGAGAAATAGAAAGAGAAGAATAACTATCAAATTATAAAAAATGATAATGAAAGAAAGCAAAGATTATAACTTTACTTTGTAGGATTTAAGGCAAATAAATTTGAAAGGCCAGATGTTGTGAATAATAGTATCAAAAATAATTCACAAAATATGACCTTATGAAGGACTGGAAGTCTAAATAATCCAGTGACAATAACCAATATAGAAAAAAAATTCAAAGCACCTCCCCAAAAATGACCCAGCTTCAGAAATTGAAAGGAACATGTTTTTTAGAAATATGTACCAAAATAGAGATATAGGTCAATGGAACAGAACAGAGCCCTCAGAAATAACGCCACATATCTACAACTATCTGATCTTTGACAAACCTGAGAAAAACAAGCAATGGGGAAAGGATTCCCTATTTAATAAATGGTGCTGGGAAAACTGGCTAGCCATATGTAGAAAGCTGAAACTGGATCCCTTCCTTACACCTTACACAAAAATTAATTCAAGATGGATTAAAGACTTAAATGTGAGACCTAAAACCATAAAAACCCTAGAAGAAAACCTAGGCATTACCATTCAGGACATAGGCATGGGCAAGGAGTTCATGTCTAAAACATCAAAAGCATTGACAGCAAAAGCCAAAATTGACAAATGGGATCTAATTAAACTCAAGAGCTTCTGCACAGCAAAGGAAACTACCATCAGAGTGAACAGGCAACCTACAAAATGGGAGAAAATTTTCGCAACCTACTCATCTGACAAAGGGCTAATATCCAGAATCTACAAGGAACTCAAACAAATTTACAAGAAAAAAACAAACAACCCCATCAAAAAGTGGGCGAAGGACACGAACAGACACTTCTCAAAAGAAGACATTTATGAAGCCAAAAAACACATGAAAAAATGGTCACGATCTCTGGCCATCAGAGAAATGCAAATCAAAACCACAATGAGATACCATCTCACACCAGTTAGAATGGCAATCATTAAAAAGTCAGGAAACAACAGGTGCTGGAGAGGATGTGGAGAAATAGGAACACTTTTACACTGTTGGTGGGACTGTAAACTAGTTTAACCTCTGTGGAAGTCAGTGTGGTGATTCCTCAGGGATCTAGAACTAGAAATACCATTTGACCCAGCCATCCCATTACTGGGTATATACCCAAAGGACTATAAATCATGCTGCTATAAAGACACATGCACACGTATGTTTATTGCGGCACTATTCACAATAGCAAAGACTTGGAACCAACCCAAATGTCCAACAATGATAGAGTGGATTAAGAAAAGGTGGCACATATACACCATGGAATACTATGCAGCCATAGAAAAGGATGAGTTCCTGTCCTTTGTAGGGACATGGATGAAATTGGAAATCATCATTCTCAGTAAACTATCGCAAGAACAAAAAACCAAACACCGCATATTCTCACTCATAGGTGGGAATTGAACAATGAGAACACATGGACACAGGAAGGGGAACATCACACTCTGGGGACTGTTGTGGGGTGGGGGGAGTGGGGAGGGATAGCTTTAGGAGATATACCTAATGCTAAATGATGAGTTAATGGGTGCAGCACACCAGCATGGCACATGTATACATATGTAACTAACCTGCACATTGTACACATGTACCCTAAAACTTAAAGTATAATAATAAAATAAAATAAAATAAAGAAAATAAAAAAGATAAAAAAAGAAGAAAAAAGAAATATCAAAATAAAAATTTGAAATAAATATCAGCAAAAACAAATAAATTAGCATGTGAAAAAATAATACCTCATAACCAAATGTTATAATTCCCTGGAATGCAAGGATGGTTGATATCATACTACAATTTACTATTACTCACTTCATGAAGATATCTAAGGACAAAAGCTATTTGATCACATTAATTGCTAAAAAGGCCCTTAACAAATTTATCACTGATATGTTTTGGCTGTGTCCCCACCCAAATCTCATCTTGAATTTGTACATGTTGTGGGAGGGACCCAGTGGGAGGTAATGGAATCGTGGAGGAGGGTCTTTCCCATGCTGTCCTCATGATAGTGAATAAGTCTCACAGGATCTGATGGTTTTAAAAAAGGGAGTTCCCCTGCACAAGCTCTCTTCTCTTGTCTGCTGCCATGTGAGACATGCCTTTCAATTTTCACCATGATCGTGAGGCCTTACTAGCCACATGAAGCTGTAAGTCCAGTAAACCTCTTTCTTTTGTAAATTGCCCAGTCGCGGGTATGTTTTTATCAGCAGCATGAAAACGGACTAATACGGTAAATTGGTACCAGTAGAGTAAGATTCTGCTGAAAAGATACCTGAAAATGTGGAACCAGCTTTGGAACTGGGTAACAGGCAGAGGTTGGAACAGTTTGGAGGGCTCAGAAGAAGACAGGAAAATGTAGTAAAATCTGGAACTCCCCCAGAGACTTGTTGAATTGCTTTGCCCAAAATGCTGATAGTGATACGTACAATAAAGTCCAGGCTGAGGTGGTCTCAGATGGAAATGAGAAACCTGTTGGGAACTGGAGCAAAGGTGACTCTTGTTATGTTTTAGCAAAGAGACTGGCAGCATTTTGCCCCTGCCCTAGAGATTTGTAGAACTTTGAACTTGAGAGAGATGATTTAGGGTATCCAGGAGAAGTAATTTCTAAGCATCAAAGCATTCAAGAGGTGACTTGGGTGCTGTTAAAGGCATTCACTTTTATAAGGGAAGCAGAGCTTAGAAGTTTGGAAAATTTGCAGCCTGACAATGCAATAGAAAAGAAAATCCCATTTTCTGAAGAGAAATTCAAGCTGGCTGCAGAAATTTGCATTAGTAACAAGAAGCTGAATATTAATACCCAAGACAATGGGGAACATGCCTCCAGGGCATGTCAGAGGTCTTTATGGCAGCCCCTCCCATCACAGGCCCAGAGGCCTAGAAGAAAAAAGTGATTTCATGAGCCTGGCTCAGGGTCCCCATGCTGTATGCAGCCTAAGGACTTGGTGCTCTGTGTCCCAGCTGCTCCAGCCATGGCTGAAAGAGGCCAACATAGAGCTTGGACTGTGGCTTCAGAGGGTGGAAGCCCCAAGCCTTGGCAGCTTCCATGTGGTGTTGAGCCTATGGGGGCACAGAAGTCAAGAACTGAGGTTTGGGAACCTCCACCTAGGTTTCAGAAAATGTATGGAAATGCCTATCCAGGCAGAAGTTTGCTGCAGGGATGGGGCCCTCATGGACAACTTCTGCTATGTCAGTGCAAAAGGGAAATGTGGAGTCAGAGCCCCCACACACAGTCCCTACTGGGGCACCAACTAGAGGAGCTGTGAGAAGGCAGCCACTGTTCTCCAGACCCCAGAATGGTAGATCCACTGACAGCTTGCACCATGCACCTGGAAAAGCCACAGACACTCAATGCCAGCCCATGAAAGCAGCTGGGAAGAAGGCTATACCCTGCAAAGCCACAGGGGCAGAGCTTCCCAAGACCATGGGAACCCACCTCTTGCATCAATGTGACCCAGATGTGAGACATGGAGTCAAAGGAGATCATTTGGGAGCGTTAAGATTTGACTGGCCTGCTGGATTTTGGACTTGCATGGGGGCTGTGGACCCTTTGTTTTGGCCAATTTCTCCCATTTGGAACAGCTATATTTACCCAATAACTGAGCCCCCATTGTATCTAGGAAGTAACTAACTTGCTTTTAATTTTACAGGCTCATGGGCAGAAGGGACTTGCCTTGTCTCAAATGAGACTTTGGATTGTGGGTTAATGCTGAAATAAGTAAAGACTTTGGGGGACTATTGCGAAGGCATGATTGGTTCTGAAATATGAGGACATGATGTTTGGGAGGGGCTGGGTGGAATGATATGATTTGGCTGTGTCCTCACCCAAATCTCATCTTGAATTTCCATGTGTTGTGGGAGGGACCCAATGGGAGCTAATTGAATTATGGGGTGGGCCTTTCCCATGCTGTTCTCGTGATAGTGAATAAGTCTTACGAGATCTGATGGTTTTAAAAAGAGGAGTTTCCCTGCACAAGCTCCCTTCTCTTGTCTGCTGCCATATGAGACGTGCCTTTCACCTTCCACCATGATTGTGAGGCCTCCCCAGCCATGTGGAGCTGTAAGTCCAATAAACCACTTTCTTTTGTAAATTGCCCAGACCCAGGTATGTCTTTATCAGCAGCATGAAAATAGATTAATACAATCACTCATTTCTGATAAAGCAATAATAATATGTAAATTGATGTATTTTTCCTTAGCAAATGTTATGCCAACCTGTTTTTAAATGGGGAAACACTGTTTGCATCCTTGTTAAATTAGGGATGAACAAGGTACTATCTTTACCACTGTTTTGTATTCTGTTGAAGGAATTAACCAGCATAATCAGAAAATAGAAAATATTGAAATGTTTAAAATCGATGCTGTTGTTATCTGCAGATAATATAATAGTTTAAAACCAATGCTCACAAGTGTCTAGGAGAAAACTCACCAATAATTAAATGAATAATAAAGTAACAGGATATGATACTGACATATCAAATGAGTAGCTTTCACATATTAAAACAATAACTACAGATGGTATTGGCTTTAGATGGTTTGAGTGTGCATGAATTTCAGTTGCAATGGTCTAGTAAGATAACACTGGTCTCTTTACCAACATTGTTCAAATTAGAGTTGCCATGGTATTATTGACTCTCAGAATTTTACTGCTAGCTCTTCAGTCTTCACATCACTGCATAGATAACAGATATGCATCACGATAAATGAACAATCACATCTTTTAAAGCGATTGGTCAGTGAGCATATGTTATTCAAGTGATACATAAACAGTGGAGTTTGCAGTTGTATTACCTCCTTTTCTCCCACATGATATTTTACAAAAACGAATAATCAAAAGAATGAATTGACCAACAAAAATGAAAAAAAAAAGGAACAAAATGACAATGCTCGAAGTAAAATTCGAATTGAACTTAAGTGGAGTTATAGAAGAAAATCCTGACCCTGGAATATTAGCCCTGCTGCCATTCAAGAGACACTGAATATGGGGCCAGAGAAACTTAGTGAGGCAGAGGTCAACATAAATGAAGAAAGTGGTTGTAACTAGAAGGATGAAGGCATACCAGAGGAAGTGACACTGGCAAAACCTTCCCATTAAAGGAATGATCTGGAATATTTCATGATGTTGAAAGTGCAAAGGATAGTTTGAAGCTGATCCATACTTTGAAAGCGATATGACAATTCATCAAGCATAGAAATGATTCACTCTGTTTATAATCTTTATGATGAAAAGAAAAAAGCAAGCATTGTTCAAATTATTTTTAAGTTTCTATGCAAAAAGTAAAAAAAGAAAAATACAAAAGAACAACTTCAGTCCCCTATAATTTTTTTTTTTTTTTTTTTTTTTTTTTTTTATGAAGCCTCACTTATCTTGCCTGGGCTAAGACGACAGGCACATGACAATATGCTCTACTTAGTTTTCTACGCTTCTAATGTCTTAAATCACAGTGCATTCTGTAATATTACTTTCATGATTTTCCCATTTTCCTATACCTTTATAACCTAGAGGAAGGGAAGTTTTTATGATCTGACAAAAATGTTTAAAGTCAAGAATAATCATGAATTTTTCCATTGATAATTAGGATCACTCTCTGTGGTTTCTGCCTGTACAGTTTTAAGTACTACCATATCTGTGCAAAGCATGAACTGCCTGTATTCACTACAAGTTCTATGTTTACATCTACTCATATTAATGAAAAAAAGTCTGTTTTGTTTATGATTGTTAGCTACTAAGAAGATTTCTCCCTTGTTAGCTTGGTTGGTGCCAGTCTAGAAACAATGCTCTAGTAAAATAACACTGGTCTCTTCACCAACATTGTTCGTTAGAGTTGTCATGGTATTATTGATTATCAGAATTTTACTGCTAGCTCTTCAGTCTTCACATCACTACATAAATAACAGATATGCATCATGATAAATGAACAATCACATCTTCTAAAGTTCGTAGGTGGTCAGTGAGCATATGTTATTCAAGTGATACGTAAACAGTAGAGTTTGCAGTTGTATTGCAGTTGTTACTATACCCTAAACACTGACCTAACAAAATGTTGTAATACATCACTTCAGCTATATTGTGATGATAGACTTTTGGGAATGTCCGAGGAACCAATAAAAATTTATTAAGTGGAATATTATTATGTGTAATAAATAAATATCTTAACTCAATATTTATTCTGATTTTTTAACTACTTTACAAATAGCCTTTTGGACAATGAAATCTTCACCTGCCCAGCATCCCTTTATATCTCATAGGAAAATTGTATACAGTAAATAACTGATTCTATCCCATGATTAGTGCTTCCAGGAATGACAAAAGCAAGTTCTTTTCTTTCTTCCAAGTAAAATACTTTAGTTCAATATTCTTCCAAAATCAGTAACCCATGAACTAAAATAATGCTTTATTTAAAGTAGTTTGTGTTTTCATATACTTATTTATATTATGCATTGCCAATGTTTTAAAATCTGTTTCACTTACAGGATATATTATGTATTGCCAATGTTATAGGAGACATGCATTCGTTTCAATTACTAAGCATTTATGGTACATCAACAGATGACCAGTCAGTATTATAGATATTTTACAAATCATAAGAAAAAATTCCTGCAGGTGATTTTTTATCTAGTGGAGTATGCAGAACTGTAGACGACAGTTACAGTAGTGTGGTTTTGAGGTGTAGGATTAAATGGCTTACTCCATACCAGTCAAGTGTTAATTTATGCATACAAATCTTCCATTCTACCTTATGGCATTTCAGATGGAAAAGTACATCACAAAGCATACATGCTTCAAGATACAATTTAATAGACAGGTTGTAAATAATGTTTGATCTTAATTATTGTACTAATTATGATAGTGAATGAATAAAGAGAAAATATTCAAAATAAAAGAGTTAAAGAATGTATTTATTAAATTTTTAATTTTGACCTGCCTAAAATTCACTCTAAATAGGTAGAGTTATAAAAACTCACAGATATGTTTAAAAGAGTTTGGTGATGATGACCCTTATGTACTGAAGTGCAGGAAATGATTGATTGATATATAGTAATGTATTGATTTTTAAAATGGCACTCAATACTAATTTGATTCTATAATATTTAAGGAAGTTTCCACTTACCCTTTACAAACAACAAAATATATATAACATGGAACATTATTTCATTCATGGTAATAAAGTTTATTTTATCACCAAGTCAATATAGTGTGAGATTTTAATATATTTAATGAATCTACTCCCATACCTTCAATATCTTCTAGAACTTACTAATATTATAACAGAGTTTCTTTAAAAACATCTGGTTTGTAAAGCAATAAAAAGAATACCTGTATTGATTAAATATACAGACTCCAGAGCCACAGTGAATTGAGTTTAAATTTCAGCTTTCCAAGGTGTTTATTTCTATTACTTTGGCAAATTACTTAATCTTGCTGAAAGTTAATTTTTCTATCCATGATACTGGGAAAATAATACTCTATCATGAACGTAAGGCAAGAATGAAATTAATAATTTATTTTAAAAGTCAGTGAAAACTGTGGTATCTACTCTATATTGTTTATGTCGTGGCTGATGATAACAATCAGACTGCTATTACAAATCTAATGTTCCTAAAAGGATTAGGTTCTCAGGATTTCTATGCCACATAATTTCAGATACTTCCCACTTCCCACCAAAGTAGCAAAAACACAAATAATGGTTTACACCGGAGATTAGCAATACCTTGTAGCTTGACAATTATTCCTTTATTTTCTCGTGTAACATATTGCTAACATTTTATTAAAAATAAGCTATGATTAGATACATTCACCAGACATTTATTAATGAATGTAAACTTGCTTTGCTAAATTTGAAAAATAAGCATTTTATAAATAGTATAAAAATAAGTGCTTTCTTAAACTCATGATCTGATTAATATGCTTTTGAATATCGAAACTCTTAGTTTGATATACTGGAAAGAATTTTCTCATATAAATAATATTACTTGTTTCTTTAAGCATACCAAAATTTACTCTCCAGCTAGAATCCATAAATGATAGAAGTTGGGGGATCTGCTTATCTTTTATGTAGCAAATGACTAATTCCACTCTGTAATTTGAACTTCCAGTAACAAGAAAAGCAAGTTATGCTATTTCTTCCTGGTAAGTTCTTCGGGTCAACATTCTTTTAAAAATCAGTTTTTCCTCAATGAAGAAAATTGCTTCTTTACTATGTACTTTTCTTTAAAATAATCATCTCATATAAGTAATTTTGTTGCCAGAGTTAGTGTTGTTTCTCAGAACTCTCTTTTTCTAGACTCTGTTCGACTGACAGATATTACAACTCTCCCTAACATTAAAAAAGACAGATTTTTTAAAATTTAAACTTACAAAACTGTTAAATTGGTGAGAGAATACTTGTGAAATGTTTATTTAAAAAATGTTGTTATAAATAGAAAATAGATTTTTTCAAACCTGATTTAAATTATCAAATTACTTACATAAATAAATAGGTAATTTACATAAAACGTTTAGTATTGTTGACAATTTGCAACATTTCACATGTTTGTTAAGGGAAAATAAAGTGAGAAATAAAAGTGAATTCCTGTACAGATATGCACACGGTTGTTTATAGCTAAAAGGCAAACAGCAATGACAAATACACAAATCATAGAAGGCTAAGTGAGCTTCACTCCAAATCTACTTTCAAAGAAAAATGTCATTAAAACAAACCAAAACTCCATATATTGAGATTGCAAACTTTAGCTGAAAATCAATAAGCAACCCATATTTGCGTTACTAATACTGCAATTATTTTGAGTACTCATTTTACATAAATGGTACGTTCAAGTTGAGAGGATTAATCAGTGGAATTCTAGTAAATCCAGTGTAGTCAGCCAAACAGTACATAGTGAGTATCTAATTCCATGATTTGCATAAATGCCCTTATAAATCAAATATTTATAATTCATTGTTTAAAAACAAAATAGTATCCTTATAGAAACTTGATTAGGAATACTGAAAGTGTTCCCCCCAGACTTCCTGAAAACCTGCTGTCTCTCAGAAGAGTGAGAACAAATCCACCATCATGCCTTTAAAGATGGGGTACAACTCTAGACTCCTTAATAATTATAGCAGTAGCAATAAAGATGACAACCACTTACGTTTAGTGACTGGTTTCTATATTCTAGGTACATTATATGGGATTTCTCCTGTTAGTCCTGACAGCAGCTCTGTGATGAGGTACTACTATTCTTCATCGTCCAGAGAGAAATCTGAGGCCCAGAATGGTGAAATAACTTGAGCAAGATCATAGAGCTAGGATGCCGGAGAGTAAGGGTCAAGACAAATTCAGCAAAAATAAGATGTGGATTAAGGTAAAAGTACAATAACTCATTTTTCCTCTAAGGCCGGTTTTCATAGCAGTGGTCCCGACGGTACAAAGAAATCACTGTTTTACAGGCTATATTGTTTGCCACATTCCTAGGCCTTTTAGATATTTCTTTCTCTTACCTACTCAGGGAGTGATCAGACCCAGGAAGGGAAAATGCTGACTCACCGTACCACAGAGGAAGTGAAGCTAATTTAAATCACAATACTTTGTCTTTAAATGCTTAGACTTTAAATAGAGTCTCCTTCCAGACAGTAGAAAAGGCCACTCAGGCCACTAAAGAAATCTGATATTCATACATTTACTTATGAAATCGGATAAGATGCATTTGTTTACCTTGTTACACTGTGTTATACCTTAAAGCTAGCTTAAAGTAAAAATAATGGAGAAAAGTAAGTTGAAGAACTTGCTGAAATGGAGACTGAATATTCAGATGAAATGAAAATAAATAGGAATTCTGAAATAATAGGTACACTGTTTCAGTGTTGGCTCCACTCATTTTAACAACTATGCAACAAACACTGAACCTCTCACACAAATAGCTAATCATTAAAAACATACCGATTCCTAAGACAAATATACCTATTGCTGGTACTATGGCCATGGAAGAATTTCTCACAAGTTTGCCAATAAAGAAAATTGTGTGGTAAAATAAACAACTCTAAATGTCAGTTTTTGTGAGATTCCACGTAAAATTGGGATAAAAAATTCCATCTCATAGATTTATTAAAGGATTCAAGATGGTGAGGCATGAAAAGCACTGAGCACAAGGCTTGGAGCATACTACAAGCCCAAGAAATAGGAGCCCCAGGAACAGAAATCAAAATAAAACAGCTCCAGCATTCTTCACTGTTTTTTATATTATATTGTTATTTAAACTGATGGTGACATTCAGCAAAAGTGATTCTATGCATCCGTTATGATTGAATTCAGGCACATGAAAAACGTGATTTAACATTTTTCAATCCAAATGTTGACTGCAATAAGGCAAGATATCCATAAACATAGTCCTTTTTATAACTCTTTCACAATGAATCAATATGCTATAATCATTGCCAAAATCTTATTTCATAATATCCATTATATATGCTAAGATGTCACTTCTCTGACTCTAATTTTATCAAAATTTTTATCTAAAAAGTCAGTATTTAAAAAAATAAGAGCACTAGCCATTACTTTTTCTTGTAAATTATGTTCTTTTTTGTTGTTGTTGTTTGTTTGCTTATTTGTTTACTGTGCCTAGTCAAGCACAATATGGCTCAATTGACCTCTTAAGTATTACTCTTCTGAACCGGTTAGACTTTTCTTAAAATTCTGTGTGAGAGTCATGATGCTGTCTGCCATAGGAGGTGAATTAGAATAGATTTGAATCTGCCTTAAATAAAGCATTTGTATTTTTCTGTGTGTGATATTTACTCTCAATTCTCACCATCAAAGCTACTCACAGATTATGTGCTTCTGTTCCAAAAAAGAAAAATCTAAATAAAAAGAAACAAAAATAAATGTTGCTTATTACTACTTATCATGCAGTTAGCCACCAGTTGTGTATAACTTGAAATACATTTTCTCACTTATTGGACATATTTTTGATATCAGTGGTGAGCTTTTATGACCATATCGGAGTTGTCTGCCGTGTGTATGTGTATTTCTCTTTTAAGGGATTGCAAATATGTTTGGATCTGCGTAGTAATCTCAGATGTCCACAGTAAATACAGAGGTGACATAGAGTTACAAAGCTTCTCAAACCATTGTATTATTAGGATAATTACCCTGTGCACAGTGCCTGACTCACTGGGGTTCTGAAGAGGTAGTTAATAAATTCATGTAAGAAAGATGAAAGAAAAGAAAGGAAAGAAAGAAGGAAGGGAGGGAGGGAGGAAACATTTTAGTACCTACCATAGCATTTGCAAAGCATAAGGGGCATAAATAATATGCTTGTTTATTTCCCCCAAAGAGATTAGATGAGCTTGTAAATATATATGAAAGAATAAATAGTAAAACAAGATAGTAGAAGTCAATCATCAAGGGCTCTGAATGCTATTGGACTTCAGAGAAAAGAGCCAGAATGCTAAATATTTCATATATATTTGTTATTTCATTATGGAGTCCAGTGACTCAAGCACTATCATATTCTTCACTAACATGGGTTTTAAGAATTGTCTGGTTATCTACGCTTCCAATATTTGTTACAGAATTTCAATCACTTAACTAAATATATACTACTTGGTTTTGATTAGCAAATCAGAAAGTATACCAAAGACTACAGTTAAATCAAGGTGAAGCTGTCTCTATGATTGAAAATACAGATTTCACTGGAAAGAAGCAGCTGTGTTCCTGAGGTTAGAGCACTTTGTTGCAGAAAGAATATCAATGGAGTGTTTATGAAATAACAAGGGAACATCACATCGCAAAGAGCAATGAAAGCCTCTTTTAAAAAAATCTGTATAATAAACATGTCTAGATGGTTATGGTTCTGGCAGATCACTACAGAGGAAATATTAGAAAAAAATCTCTACTCATACATTTTTCATGAAATATTCTGTATTATACATCACAGCTGCAAATCTGCCATCTGAAGTTTGCAGCTTCTTAATGACACCAGCGATTTAGGGCACAGGGTGGAGTTAGGCTGACATGTGACTGATGAGGTGGAAGTGTGAGTCTGAGGGCCATTGAACACAGAGAATTTCCCAATGTATCATAATTACAGAAACACCTGTGCTGAGGAATTTGTGCTGAATCAGAGAAAAGACATGAAACTTAATGGTCTGCAAGATCCTTTATCTCAGACCCATGGCTGTTGGGGGTAAAGGATACAGCTGCATTTAAAAGTGATTTTAAGGCATTGGTTTTTATCCTTCTAGTAGATGATATTTCCATCATCTGAAAATGTTTGTCTCATTTGAGAACGGGATATTGGACATCGAAACACTGTTGAAATGTACTAGGAACATTTTCTGGAAAATGAGGCAGAAATGTAAGGTCACAAACTGCTGAGCTTGATGAAGCACTCAAAACTGGATTATTCCGAGTTTTGTTATCTTTACAAACTCCATTATTGATTGAAAAAAATTAAGTACACATACATATTTTAAGCTAAGTAACACAGCATTTAACAGTGGGGTCACTCTTCAAGTTAGAATTCTTTCCCCAATGTGCTCTCAACCATCTGTTAACTCTCTGGGCAGGGGTAGGGGGAGAAGTTATAACAGTGGTATGCCTTTTACAAAAGAGTTCAGAAAAGATTAATTTAGATGTAGACTGTGATTTGAGAAGGGTAAGAAAGGAAGATGAAATAACAAAATATGATCATTAGGAGGGAAATGAAATTTACTATTTATAAGAAACAATATTTTTTAATCAGTGAAAATAAAGCAAGTTCAGTGGATAATAGTAAATATAAAATAATTCAATATATTAGAACAAGGTATTTTTAGTTATATTATTTATTTCTCTCTAAATATTTAATCTGTGATAAAAGACGATATTCTTTGGATAAATACTACATCTGAAGTTATTTATAAAAATGTTTCAGCAAATAATACATATTTTGGGCAATGTCTTTCTTTACATGAGTTATTTGACAGTCAGTCCTTTTTTAGAATATTCTAGTGTAAGAATAATGAATTCAAAATTTAAATACAGTATATCATTTATTATATTATTATAGAAGTAGCATGTTTACCAGTTAAAAATCAAAATGATAGAAAAAGAAAATGTGAAAAGCAACAAAAGTTGCCCATTATATCATCAGTCAGATATATCTGCAATTAACTGGTATAAATCCTTTCAGAAAATGTATCATATAATATTCTCAAAAGAGATACAAAATTTAAACAACAGTCTGCTTTGTATATAAATTTAAGATCAAATATTGATTACTCTTTTTTATTTTTTAGACTGAGTTTCGCTCTTGTTGCCCAGGCTGGAGTGCAATGGTGCAATTTTGGCTCACTGCAACCTCCACCTCCCAGGTTCAAGCGATTCTCCTGCCTCAGTCTCCCGAGTAGCTGGGATTACAGGCATGCGCCACAATGCCCAGCTAATTTTGTATTTTTAGTAGAGACAGGGTTTCTCCGTGTTGGTCAAGCTGGTCTCCAACTCCCGACCTCAGGTGATTCACCCGCCTCGGCCTCCCAAAGTGCTGGGATTACAGGCATGAGCCACCTTGCCTGGCCGATGACTCTTTTTCATCTTATGTATTTATTGAATAACATGTGTCACAGAGAGTATTTGAATAAATAAGAGATATAAATTTATTCTTAAATTTAAATATGAATAATATTAATTACATTTACCTGTGAACAATTAAATAGGAAGATTGCATTTAAATGAGTAGGTTATCTGATCAGTAGAGAGGTGAAGTAATACTGCAAATAAAATACAGTAGCCTAAATACTATTTGTAGGAGAACTAAAGAAGGTAATAAGAGGACAGAACTTTGGTACATGCCCTCGTCTGATCACCATAGATCCATGAGAAGCAGTTCTGTGTGCCTGTTCAGGCCTTGCATATTGGAACCTGATTTCTTAGGTTCACATTCTAGCTCTGGCATTATCTAGCTGAGAGAATTTGGATGGGGAATATGTTATCAATTTTAAGTAAATTGGAACTTTAGAGACATTTTTTTTTTTCCAAGACAGGTTCTCACTCTCTTGCTCAGGCTAGAGTGTGCAGTGGCAGGATCGTGGCTCACTACAGCCTCAGCTTCCCTGGCTCAGTGGAACTTCCCACTCAGCCTTCTGAGTACCTAGGACTACAGGTGGGCACCACCATACCCAGCTAAATTTTTGCATTTTTTATAAGCAACAGGATTCCATCATGCTGCCCAGGTTGGTTTCAAAATCCTGGGCTGAAGCGATCCACTTGCCTCGGCCTCCCAAAATACTGAGATTACAAGCGTTAGACACTGCACCTGGCCTAGAGAATGCATTGACCTCTCTAAACCTCGGTTTTTCTATCTGTAAAATGAAGTCATTGAGGATAAAGCAAGTTATTGATTGCAAAGGAGTTAAAACATTTGCAGACACATAGTAAGCATTATGCAAACATTATTTCAAAATCAATGGTTTATGTTATAGTTTATTTTAGAGATGAGAAATTTGAAGCTTAGAGAACTTGATATTTTCTGTCACTTACCACAGAGGACTATGAAATAAAGTCAATTTTTCTGTCAAATATTATTTTCTTTCCTCAAGTTTAAAATAATATATATATTCTGTATTTCTCAAGTAACTAAGTTATTAATTACCTTACTTGTATCTCTAGCATCACAATAGGAAAGACACCTAAATAAATCACAGAATGTGAATTTCCATGAAATCGATATGCATTTTTAAATTCTATATTTTTCGCAAATAATCTACCACTTTGCCCTAATCCTGACCTGGTTGGATTTTGCCATTTTTTAAAATTTGATATTTGTTCATTAGGGATTATTTGGGCATTGCTTTTTAATTTCCAAACCTTTGCATTAACATCTGCTTTATCTTGATTGCTAAGTGTTTTGTGATCCCTTAAGTTTTGCACCAGAAGACAGCACTTCACTTATCTCACCCTAGTTCCAGCCACTGGAAATGGTGAACATAAAGCTGGAAGGACAAACGGGTTGACTTAAATGGGCCATATTAACTGCATGAAAATGTCCAGGTTTTATCTTAAAAGCAATATAACGAATAAGAGGTAAATTTAATAAGCTTCAGTGTTCAAGTGAACCAAGGGGCTAGAGGAGAGCCAAACGTGTTGCCAATGTTTCTGTTGGGTCAATTGGATGGAGAATAGTACCATTCTCTAAGAGAGGGAAAACAAGAGGAAGGGTAAGTTAAGAGGGGAAGGCTCGATTATGAGTTAGATGTTAGACTTTGAGGTGTCTTTGGGAAATTCAAATAGAGATGTACAGAAAGCAGTTGGAAAGCCCAAATATATTTCAGGTTCAAATGTGAACTCTTTAAGTTGGCATCATTTTTATGTAGAAAAAAATCACCCAGCAAAGTAAAAACAGACAAACAAAAAAAGACAAGATAGATAAAGGCCTCAGCAAAATACTGAGAAAAATAGTAGATGGATCTGAAAGTTTGTCAGAAAGAAATCTGAACAGATAAAGAAGAAGAATGGTGTTTAGGCCAAGTTGGCAACTTCATTATATCAAATTCCTTAAAAGGAGAGTCAAATAGTTTTGGATTTTCATCTGAGCTCTGCAACCGACAGTCTGTGTTACCCTTATTAGATGATTTCCTTTGTGTAAGGTTTGGTCTCCTCACCTTGAAACTGGAAATAAAAACAGTACATATTTGTGGCATAGCTGCAAGAATTTTATGAAATAGAAGGATGCTTAAAACAATATTTGGCACAAAGTAAGTTCTCAAGTATAAGCCATTAATAATAACAATAATTAGAAGGATCATAGGCTCTGAAGCTAGACTGTTTGGTTTAAAACCCGATTCTGTCGATAGCAGAAGTGCTACCTTGAATAAATTGCCTCAATTTTGCTCTGTGCCTCAGTTTGCTCATCAATGAAACAAACGTAATGATATCTAACATATACGCTTGTTGCAATGATCAAATGGAGTTAATGCTCGTAATCTACTTACTACAGTGTATGCAATAATAATTGTTTATAAAACAATTTTATAGGCAGAACAATTTTAACTTCAATCACTGAACGTACTTTGAGTTTTTTTATTCTTTACTGTTTTCCTCTTTTAAAATTACATTTTAAACAGATTTTTTGCTTATTTTTTGAAAATATTTCTTTTTAAGGGAAGCTCTACATATGAATAAATTCATTGAAGATATGAAAAGTTAAAACAAGTATAAAACATATAAGCAATGCCTTCAAATGCAAGCCATTTTTGGTAGGATTATATTAACAGGCTTATCCTGAACAATTCACAGTCTTATTTATCCTTAGACAAGTCAGTGCCTGCCTGCCATAGGAGGAATGTCAGGATAACCAGGTGTATAAGGTTACTTAAGAGAGTATTATGGAAACACTGTGCTATTTAGGATCAGGCAAAGAGAAACTCAAATCCTCATTTCTTAAATGCTTGATTTGGTGACATGGGTTAAGTTACTCATTGTCATTGAGCTTCTGTTTTTTGTTGTTGCTGTTGTTGTTGTTTGTTTGTTTTTCATCTATAACAAGTACTAGGAGTGTCTGTCTCTGCAAGTCACATTAATAATGAAATGATATAACAAAATACCTCGCACGTAGTAGGCTTTTCAACAATTGTTAGTTTCTGGTTGTCTGCCAGTTGACAGCTATTCCCCCAGAGAAATAGACCCAGTAATACTTTACTTTAAATTACTGCAGAAAGTAGAAGGAAGACATAGCAAAAATAAAACCAGCTACAAATAGCACAGTTAAATTCCTTAGTGAGAACTACTCACAAACCAAATTTTTATTACATTCAGAAGCCACAGTTTAAAATAAGGCTGGATTCTGTCATACCTAATGATACGGTATAATCATAAAAATGTAATAAATACTTTCTAACACAATAATATTTCTTCTATACAATGAATACCTTCATAAGTTTTATATTTTGCTAACCATTTTTATATATACCAATCAAATGTAATTGAATTTAAATGTTAGGATAATAATCCAGATCATAGAAGTTGAACAAAAGACCATCAGTTATAGCCTGTAGAGGCCAAGGAATATCTCAGATGGATATGGGACCAGACCAGGAGAAACAAACTCAACTCAAAACCGATCCTCATGGAGCAGGGGAATATCCTACTTGGGGATACAGTGTCATCCCAGATAAGAGACTTTGAAGTCAGAATTAGTTTTTTTTAGCACCAAGCACATTGTGAATTCTCAAAACTGCTAAAGAAGCTTGGAATATTTTTGACCTAACTAATGTGTGTAATCAAATAAAACACCTGTTCACAAATGTGTCAATCTTGCCTTTGCTACTAAGAATTATTTATGAGTGCCTTTGTGAATCTTGATTATACTTTAATTAAACATGGACACTTCCTTTCAAATTTTACAGTAGTGTTGAAATCTTCTGAAAATACAGAACATTAACCATGGCACTTTTATTGTAATATGAGGTTAGGAATGAACTGTTTTTCTTGATCTAGTTTTGCCAAATAATACATGAAATTATATGAAAAAACATTTTTTTAAATGAAAGTTATGTAAAAATAAATGTGCAATATAATTATGAATATTTGGAAAATGGTAGTAAAGTTTCCTATTGCTATGGTACCTAGTTTTGCTAAACTTTTAAGTATTATATCCCTACATTTAATAATGTATTGACTAAATAAATTCAATATAAATTGAATATTATATTGCAAATATAAATTAAAGCACTAGAATTTTAAATTGGTAAGCACAGGGTTTGGTTTACAGAGAACAACCAAAAATGTATTGACTATTTGAATTCAGCATTTCCTTTAAACAATTTAACGTATGTGTTCTTTAAAAAAGTGAGCTAAATTTTAAAAATAGCATCTGGACCTATTACCAGCATTAAGAAAATATTTCCTTAGACAAATGTCTTATTATCCAACAAAAACCCAATTTTTATACCATTAGATTACAATCTAAAAAATTAACACTCTAACTGACTAAAATAGTTAATCATGCTTTAAGAAATCTTTGGGCACTGGGAATCTGTGGCTCACTGATTAAGTGGCTAAGACTAATGATTCTAGAAAGCGAACCTTGGTGAATTTAAGAAAAGAACAATGTAAAAAATGAAAATAAAATTATAAGAGATTATTCGAGTATCATTTTTCCTTTAAATGAATGAACCAGAATGAATTCTGGTTTTATCCTTAAATAAATGAATAGCACCCAACAGTAAATAGATTGTATATAAGCATTTCCAAATTTCCAACCCTCTAGAACTCACATTAATATCAGAAAATATTTTTCCAGTCTCAGGACTACATTACCTAGCTAAGCAAACTAAAAAAATAAATAAGTAAATTTTTTTAAATCTCAGGGCATTGAGGAGATACTACAAGTGATGATGGAGGTGATCTAGTACATTACTTATATTTTATCTTAAAGGTAGGAACCCTATTTAAAAAGTAACAAGATTGAGAATTAAACAATTTGGTGGTTGCCAAGGGAGCCCTGTTGCTTATTTTAGTTTTTTTTTTTTTTTTTTTAAATTATCTGACTCTTATAACTAGAAGATTTTGGTCACACTTATTGTAAAATCAAATCCACATTTCCGTCATCATACCTGTATTAGTTTTTAGATAAAATTGATATTTAGGGAAAAGTGGAAAGCTAATATTTGTCAGTTGGATAGTAACACTCTTGAACTTGCTTTGGAAATTTACCACTAAATTATTAATTTATTGTGATACGTTGAGTATTAATCTCACCAGGATGTGTAGAAAGTCGCACTACCTGAGGGAAAAGTTTTCACCACCACACTACGCTTTAAAGTTATATTTTTAAACTTAAGATATTAGCTTTCAGAAATACAAAACATGATAATATTTTTGATCACCAATTTGTGACTTCAGGATCATTTGTTTTTAAAGCATGGGGCACACAAGTGAGGCAATGGCAGACAAATATTATTTTTGTTTCACAGACTTCTATATAACTAGATAGGATTCCGGCTCTGGTGTCTTAATTGGGCTGATGGAGTTACTCTCTCCATTGAAAAGATCTAGATATTTATCTTTTAGATAGATACAGTTAAACTTTTTTTAGGCTGGGCACGGTGGCTCACACCTGTAATCTCAACACTTTGGGAGGCCGAGGCGGTCAGATCACAAGGTCAGGAGTTCGAGACCAGCCTGACCAACATGGTGAAACCCCACCTCTACTAAAAATACAAAAATTGTCTGGGCATGGTGGCATGTGCCTGTCATCTCAGCTACTCAGGAGGCTGAGTCAGGAGAATCACTTGAACCCTGGGAGGCAGAGGTTGCAATGAGCTGGGATTCCAACACTCCACTCCAGCCAGAGTGACAGAGCGAGACTTTGGCTCAAAAAAAAAAAAAAAATTTAAAAACAGTTTTTGCGATCATTTTAAAATCTACTTCCAATTCTATATAAATCTCAAGAGTCTGTGTCTTTCTTGCTTTTTTTCCATGCATCAAACAAGTTTATATTTTCCAAATAAGAAAATGATGTACCTAAGCTTTATAAATGACATCTCCCATGTCATCAATAAAAATGATGTACATCTTATTGTGGATTTATTTAGCAAACAATTCCCAGAAATCACCTTTATTACAGGGAATAAAACAGATGTGTAACTCCCTCTTTTGGATGTCATATTTACACAAAGAGGCAACAATGTACTCCCAAGCATAATATTAAAAAAGCATTAGTTTGGTGATGTTTCACTCAATAGATATGGTATCTAGTCTAAATATATTTTAAAATCCTTCCTATAAATTTTTTTTGTCAAAAATACAAAAGGATCTTTGCATAGATACATGGAAGAAATTCCCAATTCAGCCTAAATCACATTTAAGAAGTTATAACTAACATCCCCAAACAACAAAATAAGAATAATGATCAAATTTAATCTCTCTGTCTTGTACCTACTTTTTGTAAACTAGTCCAGTGTCTGAAATTAGCCAGGACATAAATACTATATGTCCTGATCAAACAAAGCCTGATATTCCTTTTCTACTTCAATTAAACACAGTATATTTCTTTCTGGAGCTTGAAGAGGGACAAGGCTCAAATTACTGTGAATTCCTCCAGTCCTGTTTCTTCAGAGTGCTACTTTGAAGGTCAATGCCAGTTGTTTGTTCTAATCTGAGTATTAAAAAAAAAAATTGTTTACTTCAACATAGCTAAGAGATGTATCTATGAATGAATGATGTATTATCAAGACTGGAAAGTATTATTAAATTTACTCCAAGGCTGATCTCTTTGATTCCTTGAAGTCTTCTCACCAGTCCAAGTGTAATTCTATAATTCATGTAATTATTTCTAATTTCTTAATGGAAAGATAACGGTGTTTAGTGTGTTCTCAGATGAAACAAATAAATAAATGTAAATATGTGTAATACATATCAGTGGGAGAATATATATGAAATACACGTACACACACACACACACACACACACACACATATATATATGACTATGCTTCTTCTATTGTTCAGCATTTAGCTGCCTTCATTATGCTCCTATTACATGTGTCCCATCATGTAAAACATAAGAATTTGCAACTGGCAAAGACATGGAAGAAGGAAGTTAATAGCAGCATGCTATAAAATAAAAGTCATCAAAAATAATAGAGAATAAAGTATGAAAAAAATATGATTTATTTAAAGAGAAAGTGGCAGTATCCTTTCATTTTATGCATTTCATGAAAAGATAAAACTAATATATGTAGTTTAGGAGGAGAATATTTACTTCTAGTTATTATGTAGCAGATCTAAATAGACTAGATACACACATGTGTGTGTATTAAAAATGGTATTGACATGGACAGGAGACAGGGAAATATTGGGTAGAAGAGGGCTATCCCTGGCAAGGGCCACACCCTCAAACCTGGACCTGTGACCTAAAGTGAAAACATGCATTCCTGTTTTCCTGCCCAAATGTTGCCTTTTTCAAAATCACCCTCACCTGCCCCACCCCCCATCCTGTACCCAAAAAAACCCCAGGCTCCACTGGAAGAGTGGCAGAGTGGCACAGCAGCAGAGAAGGAGAGAAGAACAGCCAGAAGTCAAAGAGAATCACCTTTACTACAGAGAAATGGCTTGATGGTGGGACCTCAGGAAGAGTTTGGCCAGGGAGAGCTGAACTCCAAGGGAAGACCACTTTTCCACTCCATCCCATTTCCAGCTCCCCACCCCACTGAGAGCCACTTCCACCACTCAATAAAATCCTCCACATCCACCACCCTTCAATTCATGCACGTAACCTGATTCTTCCTGGACACCAGACAAGGACCCAGGTGCAGGTGCAAGAAATTGTCACACTGACCCTCCACAGAGCTGTTTAGCACTTAAGCCAACTATGGATGGCAAAGCTAAAAGAACACAGTGTAACACATGCCCTCTGAGACTCTGAGGGTCATGGGAAACCCCTAGATGCTTCCATGGGCCCACACAGAGTTCTGCTTCTGCTGGTTGCGCAGAAGCTCTTGTCCCGGCCTCTACACCCAATCACCTGAGTGGTCCCCTTCCCACAGGGGTTGAGAGCTGCAAGCTGAGTAAATGAGACAAACCCCTTCACGAGTCCCACAAAAGGGTCAAGGGAACTATCCCATTTCAGTATTTTACTTTTAAAATAAATTCAACTTCTTGTTACATTATTACAGTAACTTAGCACTTATTTGCTAAGCGCATTACAACGTTAGTGTGTTAAGAATAAAAACTAATTGGCCGGGCGCAGTGGCTCACACCTGTAATCCCAGCACTTTGGGAGGCCAAGGGCAGATCACCTGAGGTCAGGAGTTTGAGACCAGCCTGGCCAACATGGCGAAACCTCTTCTGTACTAAAAACACAAAACTTAGCCAGGCACAGTGGCAGGTGCCTGTAATCCCAGCTACTTGGGAGGCTAAGGCAGGAGAATCACTTGAACCCAGGAGGCGGAGGTTTCAGTGAGCTGAGATCCCACCATTGCTCTTCAGCCTGGGCAACAGAGTGAGACTTCATCTCAAAAAAAAAAAAAAAAAAAAAAGAAAACTAATTGTGGGTTTTACCCTCTCAAATGGTTCCAAAGCTGCACAGATTATAAACCTATAGATTTGAACTGCATAGATTATCTATGCAGCTGATATATAAAAATCAATCATGTCCTCTAGTAGAATAGTAGAACAGACATTTCCTTTTATGGAGGAATTTCTATTGTATTATTTTAAAAATAATTCAAGTATGATTAATTTTAATTCATAAATATGGAACAATCACTTAAATAGTCAACAGGGAATTTCTGGTCCTCAGCTTGATTATTTTCACAATTATGTAAACAAAACATTAAGGGCAGTGGGAAGCAGGAATAAAGTGGGGATGGTTAATGGGTACAAAAAACAGTACGAAGGAATTAGATCTAGTGTTCTGTAGCACAAACATAATTTATTGTAGATTTCAAAATAACTAAAACAGTGGAGTTGGAATGTTCCTAACACAAGGAAATTATAAATGCTTGAGGTGATGAATGCCCTCAGTTATCTCAATTTGATCATTACAAAATGTTATCTCATTTTCCACCAACTCAAGCTTCCTCGGTGTGCTCCCTCCACTTCTGTACATCCTTTCCTGTATCCAAATGATTTACACAGACTTCCCCCCATGCTCTCACTGTTTCCTGGAAATAACTTTATTATTAAATAGATCTCACCATTGTCATCCTTTATTTGTGTTCCTCCACACTTTGAGATGACTTATGGTCATTATCATATCCTCTGGTGTCCAGCACACTCTGACACACAGCTAGTAAGCCACCAATAAATAAATGGTTGCAGCTTTTTAAAAATCAGTGAAATACAGACAGAAATACAGCAAGAGCTTCAGAGGGGGCAGCCACCTGACATAACACTGGGTGAGTTTCCTGCAATGAGTGGATGATATTAAGCAGTAGTAAATCAATAACTGCATGAAAACAACCAGCCTTCAATAGGCTCTTCTGTAATAATATTGTCTACCAGGTGTGTACACAGATTTTGTGACTGCTGAAGCTTATATAATGGGGGAGTGGACTCTTTAAGAATAATCATCCACAATTATGAATAGGAGAACCCCAAGGCCTTCCCAGGAAGGGTTCCTGCAAGGGTCCCTAAAGCCTAAGCTTTGTAATTTCATATAATCTGCTCCAGGTATGGGTCAGGTTTCCAAAGAGGGTGGGTGTTTTGCTATAGTTGTACTAGAAACAGTTTACTTCCAGTGGAATGTATGATCCTAACTGGAGAGATTTGAAGGCAAATATGAATAAGCAAGACAAACAGAAAGGAAATAATCTGAAGAAAGCTTCAATTCTTAAATATAGTAGTGAATGGAAAGAAAAGGATCTGAAAGGAAGCTTAATGTAGCTTGAGAAAAAAATTTCCTACTCATTATCTGTGTAACCTGAGGCAATTTAATTAACCTCTCCCGGCCTTTATTAACACAATTACGATGTCAAATAACACATAGCATTTTCTGTGCCAAGTACTATTCTAATCACATTCTAACATACAGTAATACATGTAACTTCCACAGAATAATTACACTATTTTACCCCCATTTTACAACCGAAGAAACTGAGGCATGTGGACTTAAGTCATTTGCTGATATGTACACCCAGTAAGTGTCAGAATCCAGATTCAAACCCAGGTTTCTTCTCCAGAGCCCGCTTCCCCACACACACAACCACCTTCATCCGTAAAAGCGGGGGAGAGCTAAGATGAGTTACAGTCATGGGCAATGTTAACTTTGTGCATTCTAGTTTCTCCCTCAGGTGTGGATCCCTAGGAACAGAGTCAGAAACAATGATTCAGGAGCACATGGTTTATTAAGTGCACTTTCTTCAGGGAAAATCTGTGAGACGGTGAGGAAGGTCAGCTGGATGAAGGGATAGAGCAAAGGTGCGGGCTCAGGTCCCAGGCTAAGTGTAGCCTTCCCCTGAACCATAGGCAGCTCTGGACCACAGATTATCCTCACAGAATTAACTGCCCCTCCCAACCCACCTCTGCGCCTCTGGGCAAGGGAGAAAGGCTTGCTTTCCTGTATTTTTTTTTTTTTAAACAGCCTCATCAGAACATCATAGGCTTAGGTTGGCTACCTGGTCCAGGAGCAATAGAAGAGCAGAGTCTGCAATCTCCCAGCACAAGTCTCTTGAGAATGTGGGCAGTGAATTTTTACTACCCAACGCTCATGGCACCTGGAAGAAGGGGATCTGGGTGGATTCTCATGGCCTCTAAAACAGTTCTTAATGCATGATGGTTACTCAATAAACAGTCATGTGCCGCAGAGCAACATCTTGATAAACAGACCTCATGTATGTTGGTGTTTCAAAAGACTATAAAGAAGCTGCCCTATACAGGTCTACTATTTTTATCTTTTATATAGTACCTTTACTGTATCTTTTCTATATTTAGATACACCAATACTTATCATCTTGTTCAAATTTTCTGCAGTATTCAGCTCAGTAACATGCTATAGAGGATTGTAGCCTAGCAGAAACAGGCTGTACCATATAGTCCAGGTGTGTGGCAGGCTGTACTGTCTAGGTTTGTCTAAGTACACACTATGAAGTTCCCACAACAAAACTGCCAAATGACGCATTTCTCATAACTCATCCCCATTGTTAAGTGACATGTGACCGTATTGGTATCATTTATTGGTCATATTTGTTAGAGAGTAAAAGGAGAAGCAAAATCCTATGTTTTCAGTTTTGGCTGAATATGTTACAATGTCGAATAAACACAAAGATTAATCAAATTGAAGATTTTAGCCAATATTGAGTGGAGAGGGCTATGCATGATATGTTCCCAAAGATATTAAGATGTACAAATTACAGTGGGTATTCTGGTTGCCTAAACATAGGATGGATACTAATGATCTTAATGCATAGATTTTGGAGTTTGTTAGTTTATTCTCTACCAGTTCACTGCATTTAAATAAGGTGATAAAAGCACTATGGCTTTCATATAAAACATCCTAGATATGCTTTAGTTACAACACAAAAAAATCAGTAGGTGATTTAGGTTCGTAAACTAGGAAAGAAGGAAGAGATAATAGTTTACCAAATATCTGTCCACCAATCAGTCAAAAAAGTAAATTGGACAGAGCTTTGAGTCTCCTAAAGAATAGATGGTCATAGGCATTTTTTTAGAGTGACATAAATACTTCTGACTAAAGAGTAAGACTCCTCCAAGCTCTGTTGAAGCTGATATATTCTCTAGTGCATCCACGAGATGTAGCTATTATACATAAAAGAGTAGGTACAGGGTAAGACGTATTTTTATGTCTCTACCTAGGACAAAGAGTCAAGGGAAATCAAACTGATGAATAGTTAGTGGATATAGAAAAGACTCAAAGGCAATGCTTAGATGTGGTAGCTCCATCTAACAGAGTGCTGGTATTTGCGGCTTGCCATTTGAGAGGCCAGTGGGTGGCCCTGGACAGCAGTTGATAGGAAAGGTAGAGAGAATATTGCCCACTGCTCTCATGATAACAGCCCAGGTTTTCTGATGCACAAGACCATAATCCAATAACTACAGTACTTGAAACCACAGGAAAATTGCAAGCTATCAGCTCTAATGACCAAAAGAGTATAAAAACAAATTAATCAGATCTTTCTAGTTGAAATTCAGGTCAGGGGTAAACTTTTTTTTTATGTGCTGAATTCATAAAATATCCATTTTTATGTTATTTCACTTCTTAAAAGCATACTAATTGATAACTCACTGATTGCAATTTTTATAACTTAAACACCTCATGCATTCAAAATGGGCACAGACTCAGTGAAATTACTCACTCCCACTCAATAAAAAATTCTGTCAAAGTTTCTGAATATTTTACAACAGAATTAAAATAAAAATCCAGAACACAACTCACCCTTCACATTTTAGAATTAACCTAATTAGTACCAGGGGGAGCACCTTACTTTTTTGACTGATTGGCGAACAGATATTTGGTGAACTATTATCTCTTCCTTCCTAGGACCAGGGGGAACACCCTAGAAGTCAAACCACTTTCAATGTTTTGTTTTTAGAAATTGATTTATGTCTGTATGAGACCAGAATATTAGTTAATTGAAAAAGAATAAATAAATTACATTTAATAGGGAATCTTCCTTTTTAATATTTTTTTAACCTACTGGAATAAAGATTATGTCCAGACATTTTCAGGAGATTCCACAATAAATTCAAAATATTCGGTTTTTTATGTATCACAAAATCCATCTCCCTGTTGAATATTATCAATAATTAAAGATTCAATTGAATTCTGAGAAGTTAAAAAAATAACAAATGCCGACGTATACATAATAGTTGATCTTAGGTGAATGCATTGTTAAGAGGAAATTAGCAAATTTATTGGACAAATTAAAGTTAACAGTTTAATTGAGCAAAGAATGATTTGCTAATCAGGCAGCCCCTGAACCAGAATAGGGTCAGAGGCTCTAGTGCTACCATATAGCAGAAGAAAATTTAGGACAGAAAAACGGAAGTGACATACAGAAAATAGAAGTGAAGTTCAGAAAGAGCCAGACTGACTACAGCCTGGCATTTGCCGTATTTAAAGATGGCTTTAACACTTGGCCACCTTTGGCTAAAACTCGATGATTGGCACAAGGCTATGTACAGCCTGTTTACACATCCGGTTACATTAGAGTTCACTATATACAGAGAAACCTTTAAAATATGCAAAGAGGCAGCTTTAGACCAAACTTAATGTAGCACATCTGAATAAATACATGTGGTTTGGTAAACCACTAGAGCTCTCATTTTATATCCTTGCAACTCAAGAGACCATGTAGCTTTCAAATGTTAATATTCCTCAGTGTTGACTAAGGGAATCTTAACTCTGTGCATTCAGAACCTGTAATACTCTTTGAACATTTGCTATGTGTTTCGCCTTTTGGCAGGTGTGGGATATTAAAAAAAAAAATCCAGGCACTTGAAATAAGAAATCTATAAATGTATTGGAGAGAGAAACACATAGCGTTAACAAAAGACCATGAGATCTGCAGAAGAAAAAGGGAAAGATTTCTTTTCTTTTTTGGGGGGTGGGGTGGGGTAGGGGAGAGAGTCTCACTTTGTCACCAGGCTAGAATGCAGTGGCGCAATCTCCGTTCACTGCAACCTCTGCCTCCCTGGTTCAAGCAATTCTCCTGCCTCAGCCCCCCAGTAGCTGGGATTACAGGCACACGCCACCACACCAAGCTAATTTTTGTATTTTTAGTAGAGACAGGGTTTCACCATGTTGGCCAGGATAGTCTCGATCTCCTGACCTCGTGATCCACCTGCCTAGGACTCCCAAAGTGCTGGGATTACAGGCGTGAGCCACCGCGCCCAGCCAGAGAGCTTTATTTTCTATAAGCAATCTTCAGACTAGGGAGACAAAGCCTTCTGCACAAGCCAAAAATGTGCTCCAAGGAGGGGTTAGGGAGAGTTAGGGATTAGAAAGGCAAAAACTGTAGGGCAGGGCGGGGAATCAGAGGAGAGAGGAAGAGAGTTTTTTGGTGGGTTTTCTTGTTGTTGTTGTTTGTTTGTTTGTTTTTGAGGCAGGGTCTTGCTCTGTCACCCAGGCTGGAGTGCAGTGGCACAATCACAGCTCACTGTAGCCTCGACCTCTTGGGCTCAAGCGATCCTCCCTCTTCATTTTTTTTTTTTTTTTTTTTTTGGAGAGATGAGATTTCACTATGTTACCCAGGCTGGTCTCCAGCCCCTGGGCTCAAGCAATTCTCCCACCTTGAACTCCCAAAGTGCTTGATAATAAGCATGAGCCACTGTGCCTCTGGTCCACAGTCTTGATTAGATTATCTTTAAGCCTTTAAGCCCCAAATCGCCAGTCTCTTTTAATTGGCTGGTTTCAGGTAGTTGGTGGGTTGGCACAAGGCTGCCCATTGATGGTCAGTAGGGGCATTTCCCGCTGCAGTCTATTTCAGCACTGACAACAGGAACTGATTTGGCTTGGTTGTATAAAGGGAGGTGCTGTGACACTTTTAGAACATCTTTTTGAGAATGTAGAGTACTTGACTGCTCCCTCATCCAGTCATGGCTGCCTGATCCAGTTTAACTTCGAGCACCTCAGCTAGCCACGGGGAGTCCATTTTTTTCTGTTGGCTGGGGTCACACTTTAACAATGAAATTATGCAGCAGCTTAAAACAAACGATAAAGTGTGTCACAAAAAGAAATACCCTGTAAATTAAGATGATGTGGGGAAAAACGAAGGAATGGTCAAGATGATTTCTTGAAATAAGTAAAATTTAAGGTAGGACTGAAGGATTAATTCTTAGTAAGAGTAACTGTTGACTGTTGATGTAATCATTTAAGGGAGATGGGACCAACAAGGTCAAAATTCCCACTGATTAATTTCAGAACAAAATGAGTTTCAGTAACAAAAATTTCAAAAGCAAGATTAAAAAAAAAAAGCCAAAAGAGCAATTATATTTGTAATGAAGTAGTGTTCAATACAAATTGAGAATTTATAAAAACTTAGATTAATTTTTCGTAAAACAAAAACCCTATTTATTGACAAATAATGTTAAATAATTTCCTTTTTAAGAAATGCTTTCTATGATATTACACATTATATGTATCAGAGATCATGCCTCACTCTCCTACAATTAAATCAATAAGTCCTAGGATTTCTCTACATTCCACACTATGTGGCAGATGGTTATTGCTTGACATATATCTGTTAAGTAGATAACTTAATGAACAATACAGTACAATTTTGGTTTACAGATCAAAGTCTCCTTTTTCTAAGACTACCCACCGAGTAAATCCTGCATTGATGTTCTGTTACTTGAATCATACGGCAATTATATGGGAAGCGTACTAACATATTTTCTTTGCCTAATTTGAAGAATAAATGACTTTTCAAAAGTGCATAAATAAAAATGTGATACATTTGTGTGCAAATGCATATATACACATATAAGTATATATAAAACTATCAAGTCTCCATGATCACTGCACTACGATCAAGTTCTTCAGAGAAGCGGAACCAACAGGATGCCTGCCAAAAAACACACAGACACACCATATATATAAACTGAGGAATTGGCTCGTGTGATAAGGGAGGCTGAGAAATATCATGGTCTATGATACGCTGCCTGCAAGCTAAAGACCCAGGAAAGCCAGTGCTGCATTCCAGCTCAAATCAGAAGGCCTGAGGACCAGGGGAACCAATAGTGCAAATCCCAATTCAAGGGAAAGAGAAGACCAATTTTGTAGGTTAAGCAACAGGCGGGAAGAAAATGTCATGAATTCATCCTTCATCCTTTCTCTGCCTTTTCTTCTATCCAGGCCCTCAGTGAATTGGATGAGGCCACCCGCAATGGAGACCGCGATATGCTTTACTGAGTCCACCAATTGAAATGCTAGTCTCATCCAGAAACACCCTCACAGACATGGCAAGAAATAATGTTTAACGTGGGCACCCTCTGGCACAGTGAAATTGACAGATAAACGTCACAAATCCAGCCCTTGTCAACTTGGCAACAATAAATATCTCCTTAAATTATACTTAATCTTCACATGAAGACAATAAACAGGTCATAATTTCTCCTAATACTTTGTTCCATGTACAACAGAAAATGCACTGTCTTCTCCAGAAGATGTTATGAAGCACTTGAGTGATGTTTACTGCTCTCCTTTATATTCTGTACTTAATTTCTGTGATGTAAAATCAACAGTATTTAAATACTGATGTAAAGCCAATATACCTAATACTGGATGATAACGTAAGTAAAGGAATAAGAGAGAAAACACACACACACACACAAACACCCACACACACACACACAAAACCATTTCCAGAAAATAAGGAAGTACTCATGACAATTACAGATCATTCACCCCATCCATCACAGTAACTCCCTTGTTTGATGCAGAGGTTGCAGTGAGCCAAGATCACGCCACGGCACTCCAGCCTGGATGACAGAGCGAGACTCCATCTCACAAACAAACAAACAAACAAAAACAACACCTCCCTTGTTTGCCTGTTGATTCAGAGGCATGAGGAGCCCATATGGTTGGGAGATAATCTTAACTTCTAGTTTAATAGAATCACTGCTCTGTCTCTTGATGGAAATATTTCTTTCTCTAGAAACAAGACCTCTAGGCCAGCAGACCATAATAGCATGGGAACAGGAAGCAAAAATTTTGTTCATGGGTACTAGAGATAATTCTGGGTAGAACCACTCCCATTTGCACTCCCTGGTTTCTGGACAAATGAATCTTGGCTATGGGAGAAATAGTAACATATAACGGATACTAATTCAGAGCGTATGAAGCCTTCTGGAGAACTTCCACCAGCCCTGCAAAGTATTGTCACCTAGCTGGCACTGTAACTGAATCTTCAAAAGGCCATTGCACTGTTCTATCAGGTTGGTAAAGAATATGGTAAGGCCAGTGAACTCTGTGAGCATGGCTTCATTGATACTCTTTTGCTGTGTTGTGAGTTCTCTGGCAGAAGCAATATTGGATGGAGTACTCTGATTTTGCAGGAGGCATTCTGTAAGTCCACAGATAGTAGTTTCAACAGAAGCAATGCATTCAGGGAAGGCAAATCTGCATCCAGAGTAAGTGTTTATGTGTTTATGCCAGTAAGGACAAAGCATTGCACATTCCATGATGGAAGAAGCTCATTGTATCCAACCTGCCTCCAGGGAGCTGGCTGATTGCCCCTGGGAGTAATGCCTTTTCAGGGGCTCAGTGTTTGTCTCTGCTGCTGGAAGACTGGACACTCAGTAGCAGCTTTAGCCAGGTCAGCTTTGGAGAGTGGAAGACCGTGTTGCTGAGCCCATGTAAAAACCTTAATCCCTGCCACAGTGGCCACACTGTTCATCAGCTCACCGTGCAATGCCTGGGTGGCTATGGAAGGAGGCTGGCTGGTATCCCCAGAACTGGGCATCCTAGTCACTTTATTGTTAAAAATCCACCTCTGCTAAGGTCACTGCATGGGACACAAATATCTATGTGTTTTCCGTCTAGTCAGTTTTTTTGTCCATCCACATGTCTCTCCCCCAAATTTCCTTGTCAACAATTTTCTGATCATGTTCCTTCCAAGTCTCTGACTATCCAGCCAAATGATTGGCCTCAGGCCACCAATTGGTAATTATCCACATTTGGCCATTTCTCCTTCCAAGTAAAGTGAACACTCAGCTGCGCTCCTTGTATTTTTGCATACAGGGAGTATTTCCCTTTATCCATGTTATTTAGGGATGTCCCAGCAAGGGGCTGTGGTGTTGCAGCTGTCCACTTTCGGCTGGGGAACTGCATATAACGCAGTGCCATCTGGAAGCCAGTCCCAAGTCTTTTCTTTCTCTGTAAACTGATCATAGGGAGGTCCCCAGGAGGCCGTGGGTGCAGGCTGGGAGAGAGAAAGCAGTGAAGCAGGGGAAAAGGAGCTATGGGCATTTGGACCACTTCTTTATGTAATTTCTTTGAGTTTCTAAGGCCTGCTTGGACCCAATCACATACATACCACTTTCACTTAATAGCGGAGTGCTGCTGTGCATACCTAACTTTATGGCTCAATGTGCCAGATAATATCCAGTTGATAATGAATAATTTTGTGGTCCATGGTTAAGTACCAATCTCTACTAAGACTCAGAAGCGGGTCAAGAGACATTTCTCAATAGGAGAGTAGTTATCAGCATGGCTTTACTAAAATATCCTAATCTTAAAATCTGTTTTGTGGTATGATCACAGCTCACTGCAACCTCGAAACTTCTGGGCTTTAGTCATCCTCTCACCTCAGCCTCCCAAGTAACAAGGGCTACAGGTGCACGCCACCATGCCCAGCTAATTTTGTAAATCTTTTGTAGATATGAGGTCTTCCTATTTTGCTCAGGCTAGTCTCACACTCGTGGCTTCCAATGATCTTCCACTCCTGGCCTCCCAAGTCTCTGGGATTAGCAGTATAAGCCACCACACCCAGCCTCTGTGTCAGCACTTTTTCTAATTCCACAATCTGTAACATTAAATGCAGAATCTCTACTTACTGAGCCTCCTTTCAATAAATCAGCCTGATTCAACTCTGTTCTCCTTCCACCATGATCCTACACCCTTCGTGTTGGTTCCCAAACATGTTTCCTGGATTTCTGTCTGTATAAACTAGAAAACTCAAGCAATTCTTTTGTAGTGTAACACACCTCTTTATGTGTCACACATTGTATCTCATCTTAAGAGGCCTGCTGAGACTTGAGTCTAGTTATAGATCGACATGCAAAAAGGAGTGGTTGGAGTGGGACCTGAAGAGAATCAGTGTTGTCTTGCACGGCAACTTCCTTAGGCAATGCAGGGTTAATCCCTCAGATGAAAACAGAATGTCTGATACCACTCTGGATGTAAAAGCTGGTATCACTGGAGGTAGGGAGGCCTGGCAAAGAAGACTCATTAGAATTTAAGGGTTCAACAGTTCCCAACTTTATCAAGGTCTTCCCACATTTCCTTAGTCCAATTGTCAAGGTCGTGTGTGTGTGTGTGTGTGTGTGTGTGTGTGTGTGTGTGTGTTTTCCTAATCAACATAAAGGATGCTCACTTTAACAGTAGGCACCCTCCAAAGCTAGAAATTCAACTTGCATTTTAATTCAGCCAATCACAGATGAAATTTGGTGTTTAATTTTCAGCAATTTGAGTCTTGTGCTACAGAAAATAAAGGTCTCTTTCAGGACACACATAGAAGAGCTTAGGTTATTTATATGGTGGGAAATCACACCGGTTATTTAAGCTGGGAAATCAAATCCCTGAGTTGATCCTTTTCTTGCACTATTCTGTCCAGGGACATTAATAGCAACCAGCCAATGTTATTACATTCATTAATTTTCCAGAAATGTTAAAGATGTCATATACAGAGGCAGTCAACTCCTTATTTCATATAAGCGTTTGAGTAGGAGTAACATATGTAGATATTTTGTGTGTCTCTATCATGAAATCTAATCAGATTAAAGAACCCATTTCAGAAACCCAGGAACAAATTCAGAAAACTCATCTTTGAACTTCTATTCTTCTAAAACCACTCTCAGTGCCAAAATCTGCATTAGTCAGTATTCTCCAGAAAAACAGAGCCAATAGGATATCTATAAATCCATATATCTAGATATATTTTTATATGTGTAATATTTACACAGAGGGAGACAGAGAGAGTGAGATTGAGAGAGAGATGATGAGAAATTGACCCACGTGATTATGGAGGCTGAGACGTCCCACCATTTACTGTCTTCAAACTGGAGAATCAGGAAAGCCAATGGCATAATTCCAGTCTGAGTCTGAGCACTTGAAAACTAGGGGAGATGACAGTGTAAATCCCAGTCCAGGGGAAAGGCTATCATTTCATCTTAAGCAGGAAGGCAGAAGAAAAAGGGGCAAGTTTGCCCTTCCTATGTCTTTTGATCTATTCAGGCTTTCAACATGCCCGCTGACACCCACCCATATTGAGGAGGGCTATCTACTTTAGTGAGTTCACCAATTCAAACGATGAATTCATTTGAAAACACTCTCACAGACACTGGAAAATAATGTTTAATCTGGGCACCCTGGCATGCAGTCAAGTTGACACATAAAATCAGCTATCACTCACACCTGTAATCCCAGCGCTTTGGGAGGCTGAGGCGGGCGGATCACGAGGTCAGGAGATCGAGACCATCCTGGCTAACACGGTGAAACCCCAACTCTACTAAAATAAATAAATAAATAAATAAATACAAAAAAATTAGCTGGGCGTGGTGGCAGGTGCCTGTAGTCCCAGCTTCTCTGGAGGCTGAGGCAGGAGAATGGCATGAACCTGGAAGGTGGAGCTTGCAGTGAGCCAAGATCATGCCACTGCACTCCAGCCTGGGCGACAGAGTGAGACTCTGTCTCAAAAAAAAAAAAAAAGTCAGCTATCATTCACCTGTGTAAGTCAAATAAGAATGCGGGCACAAGTCAGTCTAGTGAGTCCCCACAGCCAGGAGATCAACAACCTTGGGAGATCAGTAACCTCCTCTGGCCGACAAGGCGGCACAGGCTTCCCATTTTCCCAAATCCTCACTCGAGGATTACATAGATTCAGATGACAGAGTCTGAATGAGTGAGACTCGCATCAGACCCCAAGAATGAATGTGGGTTCCTCATCCTCATCTGAACCAGGAAGTACTTTATAAATTCAGCCTTATAAACTTAGTATATGACTATGGAGGGCCAAACAATACAGAACATGTAGCCACAAATGCGGCCCTCCCTTATCACTCTCCACCTCTCCAGATTAACACAGTCTGGTCTGAGTGCTTTCCTGAACCCAGAGCTGCTGAACGGAACAAAGGCCAGTTACCCAGAGGTCCCGGAACATCATGCTAACCAGCCTTAGCACAGCTGTAAGATTTAACCTGCACTATTGAAACAAATCAAATAGCACAAGGGAGAATTTGAGGGCATTGTTGGAGCAACAATGATGGCATAAACATTCTTAAACTCGCTTCTTTAGAGATAAACTGTAAATTAGAGCTAATTCCAAGAACTGTGACATAATTCCACATTGGGAATTAGAGCAAATGACGTATAGCTCCCTTCTAATAAAATATTTCTGAAAAATAAATAACAAAGTCAGCAGACATTCTAAGTACATATAGGAACCACAAAATACAATACTTGCTTATATCACATCAGCTATGAAAGAGATTAAAAAATACAAATCTTTGGACTCATGTATATTTGTTCATATTAAAATCTGCATTTCTAAAGAAAAATATAAATGTATTGGGCAAAACAAAAATAAAACAAAATTTGAAAACAACAACAAATTTCCGAAACTATGGCAGAAATTTAAAAAGAGTTTAATTCCCAATCACATAGTTATCATTGTGAATGTGAGACTCACACTACGTCAGTGCCTCTGAAAATGTAGTCAGTAGACTGTTGCTGTAGTGCGACAGAACATGGACAGAAATTGAGAATGATCATGTGGAAACTTCCAATGCAATTTGACCTTTTGATGATCTCTGAGCATGTGATTTCATACATTACCAAAATATTAGACTGTAAAGAATTGGGAAAAAAAATGCCTTATCACAGATATTTTGAGAAACACTGCTCAAGATTATTTCTTCCAAAGACATTTGTTCTCATGTACTTAGAAAAATCTTTCTTTTGTTGGAAACACACTCAATGATCATGAGTATCTACACATTACCTCTCTGAAGATTTTGTACATCTGAAGATATGGATATGGGACTCATCAAAAGGATGATCTTTGTCAGCTTATCATCCTTCTAGGCACAAATAATAAAATTTAAACAGGAAAGAAAATTGTCTCCCATAACAAGACTTTCGAAAGTGGGGAGGTATGAGCAGTTAAATCAGGGGCACCATGGAGGTTCTTTTTTCCATTTACTATGACATCCACAAGAATCCAGTTCTTGAGATGGTTGTAGCTCTGGTCACCGCTTGCTCACACAGAAGTAGGGAAGTCTCCTTCCATGTGACTTTTTTAAAGAAAAAAAGAAACCTAATTAGGAAATTTTTAAGCAAACTTCCCTCATTTTGCATTGCCAGAATTGGGTTATGTGTCCGTAACCAAGGCAATTGGTGCCAAGAAGACTGGAATTATCATGTTTCTTTTATGCTAATAAAAATTCACCCACCTTTTGGTTTGGAAAAAGGCCATCCATTCATGAAAGAAGCTAAAATCTATTTTTTTAAAAGAAAAGTGCTTAAGGTAAAAGGAAGAATGGCAGTGAGGCAGACAATATATCTCCCAGAAAGGCATTTAAATATTGACCATAGACAATATTTCTTCAGAGAGTATGTGATAACAACTAAAAAGGGTCCAAGAACAAGTCCTGAGAATATTGAATATGTTGATATTGGGAGAAGAGAAAGATCCAGCAATAGAAAAGGAAAAGCCACCTCCCCGGGGGCAGTCGTGTTATGGAAATAGCAGAAGAATTTGTTTAAATAGTTAACTGTGATGATATCTTTTAGATAATAAGGAATCAAATAGAATGATTGTTGACCTTCTAAAAATTATATTTAGTGAGAGAAAGTCCCTAGGGATTTTAGGATAACAAGTCAGTGGAATGGTGGGCACAAACCCAAAATGGAGTGATAAGATTTGTGAATATAAAGGGAAAAAAAAGAAACCAAAAGGTGTTCAATACACAGAGAAAACCTGCTGGGAATTTGTGGTAGGCAGAATATGGGCCCCTTAAAGATGACCATGTCTCAATTGTTACAATCTGTAAATATGTTACCTTACATGGTAAAAGGGTGTTTGCAGTTAATAATTTAGTATCTTGAGATAGAAAGATAATCCTAGATTATTTCAGTGGGCTCAATATAATTGTAAGAGTTCTTTAAAAAAAATTTGTTTTGATGAGTTTGGGTATATACATACACCCAGGAAACCATCATCACAATCAAGGTAATAAAATATGCATCACTTCCAAAAGTTTATTCCTCTTTTTCCTTCTTTCCTTCCTTCCTCTTTCTTTTCCTTCCTTCCTTCCTTTCCCCTTCCCTTCCCCTTCCTTTCCTTCCCTTTCCCTTCCTTTCCCTTTATCCTTTTTTTCCTTTCCCCTTCCCTTCCCTTCCCTTCCCTTCCTTCCCCTTCCCCTTCCCTTCTCTTTCCCTTTCCCTTTGACTTCCTTTTCCCTTTTTCCTTCCCTCTGCTTTCCCTTCCTCTTCTCTCTTTTCCCTTCCTTTCCTTTCTCTTTCTCTCTCTACCTCCTTTCCTTCCTTCCTTTCTTTTAATAGGAACAACATAAGAAAAGTCACGACGGTTCTCAAAAGAGTGAGGCAGGAGTGAAAATCAGAGAGTTTTGCCAATGGCACACTGCTAACTTGAAGATGAAGGGATGGGCACCTAGCCGAGCAATGCTTGGCAGCTTCTAGAAGCTGAAAAGGCAAGGAAGCAGATTCTCCCCTAAAGCTTCTAGAAGGAATCAGCCTTGTAGAAACTTAATTTCAGCTCAGTGAAGCTGATTTCAGACTCCTGACTTCAGAGGTGCAGCAAAAAGAAAATCTGTTGTTGTAAACCATGAAGTGTGTCATAACTTGTTACAGTAGCAATAGGAGACTAATCCAAAATGCTTTAATTGTAAAGAGAGATTTTTCTGATGAAGACCTGATTTCAAAGAATATGGTCTATTTCTCCAAAGGCACCTGCCAAAACTCTTCAAGCAACAACAACAACAGAGTAGACCATTATGCCAATATGGAATAACATCTGATATATTTGTATGGATCATTTAAATATTTATAAAATAAAATATGTACATTATGAATTTAAATAGATGCATACTTATGACAGAAAATATATTTATAAACATATATTTTACTTTTATAAATATACCCTGACATGAAAATGAGTCAAGTACAAAATTCGTATATACATAAAAGACTCTGAGACATACCCACTTTGAATGTTTAATTGTGTCTCAAAATTAGTATGTTAAATTGAAATTGCAATCCTTCCCCTTACATAGTCTGACCTATCTTCTCTATCTTAAATATCACTGATATTGTCCCCCAGTAAGCTTGACCAAAACCCTCGAAAATTATCTTTGATTTCCTCTTATTCTTTCCCACTTCACAGTCAAATGTCACCAAATCCTACCAGACAGGTTTCTAAATATATGCCAGATATGACCGCTCCTTCTACCTCCAAACTACCACCATAGTATAAGTTAAGATAATTTACTACCTGCACTATTATTATTCTCTCACCATTATTGTTTCTCTCCTTGGCCTATACATTTTAGTTATACAGTAGTTGGAATATAGACTGCTGTTTTTAAATTTAAATATTACTATTCTGGTTAAAGCCCTCTGATGCCTTATGTTAGAATAAAAGATAAATTTACCACCATGGCTTTCACTCAAAATTGTAATGTTTGAATAATGAATCTTTTTATCTCTCCCACTAGAATTGAGCTCTCTGAGGGAAGAAATATTGTATCTTGAATTTTTTTTCATTATTTTCTCAATAGCACTTAGTATAAGACAAGTAGAGATTTCAATAAATAATAGTAATTAATAAATATTTGTTGAATGTTGAATATACTGTTAAGAGGTGAAATGAAAGTGCAGAAAATGTGTATAACTTGGGTTCAATAAACTGCTTATCTGTATATGCACACACACATATATAGATTTCGAGTTATTAAAATAAATACATGCTTAAAATTTATTTACTGATACCTTTGCTAAAATTTTAATCCTGTGAAAGTAGGGATATATTTCTGTTTTGTGTGATATATCTCAAATTCTAAAAATAAATCTAGAACCTAGTGAATGCTCAATAATAATTTTGGCAAATGAATAAATGAATGAATGAATATATGTGTACACACCCACATTTTTTGTACATAGACATTGTATGAGTTACATCTTGCTGCTGTAACTAATTACCAAAACCTTAGTGGCTTAAAACAACACAAATTTACGTTGTTATCATGGAGGAGATCAAAAGTCAATAATTGGTTCCACTGGGATAAAATCAAGGAGTTGGTCAGGCTCCATCATTTCTGGAAGCTCCAGGGAAGAACAATTGCCTTTTCCAGCTTCTAGATGCCACTTACATTCCTTGGCTGGTGGCCATTGCCTTTGCCATCAAAGCAGCATCATAACATCTTACAGTTCTCTTGTTTTTTTTTTTTCCCGAGATGGAGTCTCACTCTGTCACCAGGCTGGAGTGCAGTGGTGCGATCTCGGCTCACCGCCACCTCTTCCTCCCGAGTTCAAGCAATTCTCCTGCCTCAGCCTCCCGAGTATCTGAGACTACAGGCGCAGGCCACCAGGCCCAGCTAATTTTTGTATTTTTGGTAGAGATAGGGTGTCACCATATTGTCGGGATGGTCTGGATCTCTTGACCTCGCAAAACGCCCACCTGGGCCTCCCAAAGTGCGGGGATTATAGGCATGAGCCACCGCGCCCGGCCCTTACAGTTCTCTTGACTTTGACCACTGCGCCTCCCTTTTCTCCATGTAATGTAATTGTCTCTTCAAATAAAATACGCCCACCTGGAAAGTCCAAGATAATCTCTTTATTTTAAAGTCAACTGATTAGCAATCTGAATTTCATCTCTAATCTTAATTGCCCTTTTCCAGGTAACATAATGTATTCACAGGTTCTGGACACTAGCGCATGCACATTTTGGGAAGAATGTTAACCTGTGCACCGTACACATTTTCTAAAAACGTAAACTGAAAGTTACCTACAGAGTTTGACTATGGAAAAAGTGGTGAATATCCACACTGGAAGGGAATTTAATTAATGGTACAGACCACTGACTTCAAAACATGGTGCCTAGAGCAGCAGTAGCATTATCAGCGGAGAACTTAGGAAAAGTGCAAATTCTTAGGCCCTACCCATACCTACTGAATTAAAAACTCTTGAGTTTGGGCTCAGCAATCTGTTTTTTAAAAGCTCTCCAGATGATATGGATTCTTGCTAAAGTTTAAGAATCACTGGATCATACTACTCCATACTTGGTTTTTATACTAATGTTGTATCTACTTACATTTAAATGAATAAAGTGTTTTAGTAGGATGGCATTCATTCAACTTAGACAAAATATGCTTTTTAAAGAAGTATTACACTTTCGTAGAGCCAAGTAACATTAATAGTATAAACAGGTATAAAAGAATAGGCATGCCCAATATTAGTAATTACAAAAGTTATTTCAAATAGATATAAATTAAGGTAATTTAAAATCACTGATCTTTAGCCTTGGTAAAATTTGATTATTTATTTATAGTTGCAATTGAAAATATATTAAAGTTCATTTCTTTAGGCCTAAATTAATTACACAATCTTAATTTCTGTATTTGAAAATCTATGAAAAAATTTTAAGCATATTTTAAAAAATAATATAAGAAACATTGAAATATTAATTATTCTTACCAAATGTAGCCTTCTTATTTTATATATTTATCTTAATTCTCATAAATTTACTAAAGAACATAACTACAAGGTTTTAATGCCTTAAATACCTTAAAACTGAACATAAAATCCATAAATCCATTGCCTCTTTAGCTATGACTCTGGATCACAGCCAGATTAACCATGGTAAGGCAGAAAGAAATGCTGCGGGTTCAGGAAAAAGAGGAAATAGTTCAATGATTAGCTGTCGTCTCTTCCACCATCTACCAAATATCTGCTTCAGTAATCTTATCACCTATTCAATTCAGTGACTTCTCCCAAGAGGACATAACTTTAGGTCCAATACAAAAATGTCATCCAATCCTAGATTGAGAATCCATCACCAATGCCCACTTCTCTCCACTATGCCTGTTTATGTCTCTGTAGCATCTGAAGACCTAAGGAGAAAAATGTATCTACCCCACTGTCCGTTCTCACACGGCTATGAAGAAATACTGAAGACTGTTTAATTTATAAAGAAAAGAGGTTTGATTGAGTCACAGTTCTGCATGGCTGGAAAGGCCTCACGAAACTTACAATCATGGCAGAAGGCAAAGGGGAAGAAGGGCACTTTCTTCACAGAGTGGCAGGAAGAAGTGTTGAGCAAAGGGGGAAAAGCCCCTTATAAAGCCATCAGATCTCATGAGAACAGCATGGGGGTAACCGGCCCCATGATTCAATTACCTCCCACTGGGTCCCTCCCATGACACATGAGGATTATGGGAACTACAATTCAAGATGAGATTTGGGTGGGGACACAGCCAAACCATGTCACCCACCTCCACAGCTGAACACAAACACAGACACACACATTCTCTGTCTCTCTCTTTCTCACTTTTCCATTATGAACAGAAACCAAATAGAAGAAGAAGAGGAAGGCAAAGGAAGAGGAGGAGGAAGAGAAAAGGAGGAAAGGGAAAGGAGAAAGAGGAGGAGGTGGGGAGCAGGAGGAGAATTGGAATCACACAGTGCTCATCATAAATAGCAATGATGAAATCCTGCTGAGTTAGGATTGAGAGATCCTTCCACCAAGCAGGCATGGAGAGTTGTAGGGAGGGGATTGAGGGGATATGCTTCATGATTAGATCCTAATGCTCATTTCTGGGAAGAAAACTCTTGTTCATTGATTTCCAGGAATCCTGATTCAGCAACCTATAGTATATTCTTATCTGATATTCCTCATGGCTATGCCTGAAGGAAGCTGCACAGCTTACACTCTTTTCCTCCTTCTGCAAAAGTGAGGACACAAAAAATCTCTTGAACAGCAAAAGTCTTTTGGAAGTGATGTTTTCTAGACAATAGAATTGCCTCAACTAAACAGCACTAATGTCTCACTTATATAATTCTTTCTTGCAATAATCATACCCAAAATCTCTCCCCTGACCCTGACTTATATATAATGCCTCAGTCTGCTTGATTTTATTCTTCCATGACCTAGGCTTATCTCTCAACTTAATGGTGTAAAACTTAGCGTCATATGAAATAATAAGCTTATGTGTAATCCCATCTTTGTTGCAGGGCTGAATACTGTGATAGATTTAATAAAGAAAAAAAATGGTGGGGAGCAGTGACTCACACCTGTAATCCTAGCACTTTGGAAGGCCGAGGCAGGCAGATCACCTGAGGTCAGGAGTTCGAGACCAGCCTGGCCAACATGGAGAAACCCTGTTTCCACTAAACATACAAAAATTAGCCAGGCGCCTGTAATCCCAGCTACTCAGGAAGCTGAGGTCAGAGAATCACTTGATTCCGGAAGGCGGAAGTTGCAGTGAGCCGAGATCACACCACTTCACTCCAGCCTGGGCGAAACAGCAAAACTCTGTCTCAAAAATAAATAAATAAATAAATAAATAACAAGATCACAATTCTTTACCTAAATCTTATCCACACACTTGGCAATATAACTTAGAATTTCCTCCCATTAAGAGATGTGCATTCCCTGGGATCTGAACTGACCTTGTGAATTGCTTTGGCTGGTGGAATGCAGTGGAAGAGTAAACATATCACTTCTGAGCTTAAGCCTTCAGAGGCTTTGTCTGTCTCTCTCTCTTCTGTTTTTCTCCTTCTCTATCTCTATCCATCTCTCCCTTTCTCTCTCCTTCAAAACCCTGTTGCCATCATGTGTGAACAAGCTTGGGTTAATCTGCTAGATATTTTAAAATACAAGTTCCAGACTTGACTTTTGTCCCAACTGTTGGCAGGTCAACCACCAAAATACGGGGCCATTCTAGACTAGCCAAGCCCTGGCCAATGTGTCAGTCAACTTCAAATTCATAAGATAACGCTGCTGAGATAACCTACACCTTACCCAGATCAACAGGCTCACATAGTTGACCTACAGATTTATCAGCCATAAAAAGGGTATATTGTTTTAAGTCACTACATTTTGCAGTGGCTGGTTATGTAATCAATAAGTAATTGATACAGTTCTTTAGTAATGGGTGTATACCTTCAGGTTTCATACCAGATTTATTTCTTGTGCTTTGGACTCAAATTTTGGACTTTGGAATCTGCTTCACCAGAGTGGACCAGAAAAATAAAAAACCACTCCAGCTCTAGAATTTTTGAGCAGGAGGGGTTTTCCATATTAATGAAAAGGTACTTACAAAAGCATGAATTTTCTGAAAGAAGTAAGTCAGAAAAGGATGTTTCAGTTTTACCAGTGGCCTTCTCTAGGAACCAGAGAAAACAACTTGTATTAACGACCATATTCTGAATATATGAATGTATACATGTACATACTACATATATTTTTTTACAAGCAATAACATGTCAAGCAAATGCATGTCATAATAATGCTAAGGCAATAATATTACTAGAAAATATATCTACTAGGAAATTCAGGCAAAGAAACAAATGTAATATCTTTAGTAAGACAAACATTTTTGTTTCAATATGAATAAAATAAAAAAATCACAAATTTGTAAATATTTGATTACAATAAGTCTACTTGCAGTCGTAAAGGACTTAAAGGACACAGATACTAAATTCATGTATCTAGTGTCAAATTTGTGTAAGTTACATCCTCTGAGTACTATCTTGCCTTGTGTTTTGTTAAAAAGTGGAAATAAAAGCAACTAACTTTCAATAGTGACACAGTAAAATAGTAATGTCTATCATTTTTATTGAATTGACAGGTGTTTTATTGCAATGACTAAATCAGTTGGCTATTTCAGCATCAGTTATAAACAGACTGAAACGACGTTTACATTCAATCAGAGGAAACTTTTCAGTGCAATTCTGTGAGTAAAAGTTATTACAATTTTATTAAAGATGACATTATGATAAGAGTTTAGGCAATTTAGCCAAGGTCAAGATATGAGACAAAAAAATACATAGACAGATAAACAACTTTGGTATTCGCAGACTATTATTATTAAAATAGTGCTATAATTTTCACAAATGCGATCAGATGATATATCATTTTAGCTTGTATCTTAATATAGAAATTATGGAAATATTTACAATCTCTCTCTTCCTCTCCTTAATGTCACTCTTCATGGATGTAGCTACATCCTTCTTATTTATATTCCTTAAAGTACACCAACATGACTATTATCACAGTTATTTGTTACAAAATGACATTTTTCCCATTGTGGTCTTTTTAATGTGCTCTCATCTCAAATTTCCTTCAAAATTGAAATTTTGTAGTTAAATTTCAGTAACAAAATAAAAGTAAACGATGAACTAAAAGTAATCAAAAAGATTCACAAAATAATAATAGGTACATGCAACATATTATAATTTATAAATAAGTTGTACAGAAACCTATCTTTATTTTAAACTGCATGAAACATTCATCTCTGATTACTAAACACTATCACGGATATTTCTTATTTAGCATATTTGATATTGAACAGATTATAATAGGATTGTTTCAGTTTTGCTCATGTCAGGTATTAAACCTGAACCTGATCTCCTGATTCAGCTGGGGCATCCATAAATAATACTGATGAAGGCGTCACATTGCTAGAGGAAACCACATACATGCAAATACTTGTTGATGAAATATGAGGTTAGAAAAAACCTCATTGGTTTAATTAGCCAAGAACACAAATGCACATGTGAATAAAAGTAGAAACAAGGGCCATAACCAGTGCAGTGCATAAGGCCCTCCCTTGAACCTCAGTATCCCTAATATGAACATGTGTCTGCAAAAAGGAGGGTCTTGTTGGATACCTAATCTTCTTTTTGACCATAAGCAGTATTTTCTGTCTCTCTCTCAATCTCTTCACTTATATATGTTTATATGTATTATTATATATAATTATATATAAATAGATGTAGTTATATAATTATATAATATATAACAGTCACATATAGTTTAAATATATAAATATATATTATTAAATTTTAAGTATAAATATGTATTCTATATGATTATAATTATGTATAAGTACAGATTTATATATTTATACTATATATCAATTCATAAATAATTTATATGTGTAAATTTTATATATACATTTTATTTATATAAATATATATATAAATATGTACATAAATACTATAAATATAATGTATAAATTTTTATATAAGTAAAAAATATATATATTTTTTGAGATGGAGTCTCTCTCCATCGCCCAGGCTGGAGTGCAGTGGCACGATCTCAGCTCACTGCAACCTCTGCCTCCCGGGTTCAAGCGATTCTCCTGCCTCAGCCTCCCAAAAAAATATATAATTTTTTTTTAGAGCTAGTGTCTCAATACGTTGGCCAGGCTGGAGTACATTGTTTATTCACAAGGTGTGACCATAGCTCACTATAGTCTTAAACACCTGGCTTCCAGCAATCCTTCCACCTCACACTTCTGAGTAGCTAGGACTACAGGCATGCACCACTGCCCACAGTGTTTAATTTTATTTTATACACTTTTTTGTGACAGGGTTCTACTCTGTCACCTAGGCTGCAGTGCACCTAGGTGACATCATGGCTCACTGCAGTCTCAACCTCCCTGGGCACAGGAGATTCTCCCACCTCAGTCTCTTGAGTAGCTAAGTCTACAGGTGTGCACCTCCACACCTGGCTAACCTTTTTTATTCTTTGTAGAGATGGGGTTTTGCCATGTTGCCTAGGTTGATATTGAACTCCTGGGCTTAAGCTCTCCACCCACCTGGCACTCCCAAATTGCTAGGATTACAGGAATAAGCCACGACACCTGGTCTTAAAAATTTTTATAATACTTTTATTGAAACATAATCCAAAACCATGAAATTCACCACCCTAGCTCTATTCTCTCCCCCAACTACTAATCCTAGACAACCACTATTTTTCTATTTCTATATAATATATGTCTATTTTGGACATTTCATATACTGCATATAAAATCATATAATATGTAGACTTTTATGAATGACTTCTTTTACTTAGCATAATGTTTTCAAGGTTCATCCATGTTCTAGTATGTATCATTACGTTATTTCATTTTATTGACTAATAATATTCCATTGTATGTATACACAAATTTTATTTATTCACTCATCCAGACAGATATTTGAGGAATTCCTAATTTTGGGGTATTTTGAATAAAACTTCTATGAACATTAGTGTACAAGTTTTTGTGTCGATGTATGCTTTTCTTTCTCTTGGGTGTATACCTGGGAGTGGAGTTGGTAGATCATAGGGTAACTGTCTTAATCCATTTGTGTTTCTATAAAGGAATACCTGAGGCTGGGTAATTTATGAAAAAAAAAAAGTTTTATTTGGTTCATGATTCTGCAGGCTGGAAGACTGGGCATCTAGTGAATGCCTCAGGCTGCTTCTACACATTGCAGAAGGTGAAGGCGGGGAGGCCAGTGTGCAGAGATCACATAACAAGAGAAGAAGCAAGAGAGAGACTAGGGAGGTGCCAGGTTCTTTTTAACAACCGGCTTTTGCAGGAAGTAATAAAGTGAGAACTCACTCACTACCAAGCCATTCCAGAGGGATCCACCACCATGACCCAAACACCTCCAATTAGGCCCCATCCGCAATACTGAAGATCAACTTTCAACCTGAGGTTTGAAAGGGACCAATAAATCATAGCTAAACTATAGCACTAACTCTTTGTTTAACTCTTTAACTGCCCAGCTATTTTCCAAAGTAGCTGCATCATTTTATATTTCTAACAGCAATGTATGAAGGTTAAAAGCTTTCTACACCCTCAACAATACTGGTTATTGTTTGTCTTTTGGATCATAGCCATCCTAGTAGGTGTGGAGTGGTACCTCACCACAAAATTGTTTTGAATCTCCCTAAATGTCAGCAAATGTTGAGCACTATTTTGTGTGCCTGTTGACCACTTTTGCATCTTCTTTGGATAAATGTCTATCCAGATTATTTTTCCATTTTTTATTAGGTTGTATTTTTGCTATTGTGTTATGAGTTTTTTTGTATCTTCAAGATACAAATCATGTATTAGATACATAATTTGCAGATGTTTTTTCCCATTCTATAAATTGTCTTTTAACTTCGTTGATAGTATCCTTTGAAGTTCAAAAAAATATAATTTTTGTTATGTGTCTCTTTTACTTTTGATGTCAAACTATAACAGCTTTACCAAACCTAAGGTCACAAATGTTACTCCTATATTTTCCTCTAAGGGTTTTATAGTTTTAGATCTTACATTTAGGTCAGTGATCCATTCTGAGGCAACTTTTGTATATGGTGTGAGGTATGGGTCCAAGTTTATTTATTACATAGATTATCTTGGTACTTTTTTTTTTTTTTTTGTAGACAGACTCACTCTGTTGCCAGGGCTGGAGTACAGGAGTGCAATTATAGCTCACTGCAGCCCTGATCTCCCAGGCTGAAGTGATCTTCTCACTTCAACCTCTCTAGTAGCTGGTATTACAGGCATGTGCCACCATGACAGGTTAATTTTTTTTTTTTTTTTTTTTTTTTTTTTTTTTTAGTAGAGACAAGGTTTTTTTTGTGGTTATTGCCTAGGCTGATCTCCTGAGCTCAAGCTATCCTTCCTCCTGGCCCTCCCAAAATGCCAGGATTACAGGCGTTAGCCATTGTGTCCAGCCTTAGTACCTGTTTAAAATAATCAACTAATCATAAACATGAGAGTGTATTACTTGACACTCAATTCTATCCCATGGATCTATATGTCTATCCTTATGCAAGTGCCATACTGTATTAATTACTGCAGTGTTATAGAAAATTTTGAAATTAAGAAGCGTTAAGTCCTCCAAATTTGTTATTTTTCAAGATTGCTTTGACTATTCTGAGTTTCTTGTTTTCTCATATCAATTTTAGAGTCATCTTCTCAATTTCTGAAAAGAATCCTACTGGGATTAGGTTTATGATTGCATTGAATCTGTAGATCAGTTTGGGAAATAGCGCCATCTTAACAAAATAAAGTCTTTCAAACCATGAGTAGATAATACATTTTTATTCTTTTAGATTGACTGCAATTTATTTCAAAATGTTTTGTAAATTTTAGACTATAAATTTGGTATTTCCCTTGTTAAATTTATTCCTATGATTTTTTTTCTTTTGATGCAATTGCAGGTAAATGGCATTGCTATTATAACTTTATTTTGATATTGTTCATTGCTAATGTCTAGAAATGTCATGGTTTTTTAATATTGATCCGTGTTCTGCATACTTGGTGAACTCATTTATTGATATTAATCAGTTATTTTTGTTTTTAAGTTAATAGATTTTATTTTTAGAGCTGTTTTCTATTTATAGAAAAATTGAGCAGAAAGCACACAGAGTTCTCACCCTCTTTCTCACTCACTCTGTTCCCCACCAATTGCTAATATCTTGCATTGGTGTGATACATTTGTTACAATTGATGAACCAATATTGACATATTATTGTTAACTAAATTTCATGGTTTACATTAGGGTTCACTCTTTATATTGTATAGTTCTAGGGATTTTGCCAAATGCATAATGGCTTGTATCCAACATTAGAATATCATACAGAAGAGTATTACTGTCCTAAAAATTTCCTGGGCACAACCACCTTCCCATCCACTCTTGTCAACCACTGATCTGTTTAATGTCTCTATAGTTTTGACTTTTCTAGAATGTCATATTGTTAGAAGCAAACATTATGTAGCCTCTTCATACTGGCTTGTTTTGCTTAGCAATCTGTATTTAAAGCTCTTCCATGTCTTTTCCTGGCTTGAAAACTCATTATTTTTTAACACCGAATAGATGTAGCACAGTTTATTCATTGACTCTTGCTGAAGAACCTTTCCAAGTTTTGGAAATTATGAATAAAGCTTCTATACATATTCATGTGTTACTCTTTGTGTGGATGTGAGTTTTTAACTCATTTGGATAAATACCTAAAAGCACATTTCCTGAATCATATGTTAAGACTATATTTAGCTTTAAAAGAAACTGCCAACTGTCTTCTAAAATGGCTGTATCATTTTGCATTCTCACCAGGAATGAATGAGAGTCCCCATTGCTTCACATCCTTGCCAGAATTTGGCATTGTTAGCATTTTGAATTTTATCTACTCTAATAGGTAGAAAAGTATCTCATTCCTGTTTTAATTTGTAATTCCCTGTGACATATGGTACTGAATATCTTTTTATATGCTTACTTGCATCTGTGTGTCTTCTCTGATGGGTTGTCTGTTCAGATATTTTTCCCACTTTGTAATTGGGGTGTTTGTTTTCTTGTTGTTAAGTTTTGAAAGTGTTTCCTTTGTATAATATATTGGACACGATCCTTTAACACATCTAGGTTTGAAAAGATTTTTCCTAATCTGTGTCTTGCCTTTTCACTCTCTTAGCTATGTCTTTGACAGAGCAGAAGACTTAAATTTTCATGAAGACCAACTTATCAATGTTTTTTGTGATGGATTTTGCTATTGTTTTTATATATGAAATATTTTTTTGCCACATTCAAGGTCACCGACCTTTTCTCCTGTTATGTTCTAGAAGTTTTATAGTTTTGTATGTTACATTTAGGTTTATGATTCCTTTTGATTTCATTTTTGTGAAATATCTAGGGTCTGTATCTAGAATCTTTTTTTTTTTTTTTTTGAGGCGGAGTCTCTCTCTGTTGCCTAGGCTGGAGTGCAGTGGCGTGATCTCGGCTCACTGCAAGCTCTGCCTCCCAGGTTCACACCATTCTCCTGCCTCAGCCTCTGGAGTAGTTGGGACTACAGGGACCCGCCACCAAGCCCGGCTAATTTTTTGTATTTTTAGTAAAGCCAGGGTTTCACCATGTTAGCCGGGATGGTCTCGATCTCCTGACCTCGTGATCTTTCTTCCTCGACCTCCTAAAGTGCTGGGAGTACAGGCGTGAGCCACCATGCCCTGCTGAATTATTTATTTATTTATTTATTTTGCACATGGATGTACAGTTGTTTCAGCATCATTGTTAAAAAGACTATCCTTTCTGCATTGAATTTCCTTTACTCTTTTGTCAAAGATCAATTGACTGTATTTATCTGGGTCTATTTCTGTGCTCTTTATTCTGTTCCTCTGACCTACTTATCTGTTCTTTCACCTATACCACACTGTCTTGATTATTGTAGCTTTCTTGTAAGACTTGAAGTTGGGTAATGTCAGTCCTCCAACTTCATCTTCTTCAATGTTGTTTTGGCTTTCCTTCGTGTTTCCTTTCCATATAAACTTTAGACTCAGTTTGTTGATAACCAAAATTAATTTACTGAGATTTCAATAAGGATTAAATGGAGTCTACTGATTGAGAAAAACTGACGTCTTAATAATATTGAGCCTTCCTATGCATTAATGCCATTTTGTTTATTTAGACCTTTCTTGAATTCCCTCATTTGAGTTGTATAGGTTTTTCTAATATATATATAGTGCATATTTTATTATATTTAGAACGAATTGTTTCACTTTTTGCTGCTACATTAAATGGTGGTGTGATTTTTATTATTTTCAAATTTCAGTTATTTATTCATGGTATATACGACAGTATTTTACTTTTATATATTAACCTTATATCCAGCAACTTTAATCTCTTATTCATTCTAGAAGGGTTTTGTTGTTGTTGTTGCTGTTGTTGTTGTTGATTCTTTGGAATTTTCCACATAGACAATTAGTCATGTCATCTGTGAACAAAAACAATTTTACTTCATTTTTCCTCAGTCTATATACCTTGCATATTCTTCTCTTATTGCGTTAGCCAGGATTTTATTATAATGTGTAATAAAAGTGGTAAGAGAAGGCATTCTTGGATTGTTCTTTATCTTAGGGAGAAAGCACCTAGTTTCTCACCATTAAGTATAAAATCAGGTATAGATTATTTTGGTTGCTGTTTATCAAGTTAATAAAGTTGTTCTCTATTTCTGGGTTGCTGAGATTTTTTGCAGGGGGTGTTTTCTTTTCTTTTCTCATGAATATATGTTGGATTTTGTCAGATGCTTTCGAAAAATCTATTAATAGGATCTTGTGAAATTTTCTTCTTTAGCCTTTTGACAAGGTAGACATTTATGAATTTTCTAATGTTGAAACAGCCTGGAATAAATTCCAGCTGCTCATTGTGTATAATTATTTTTCATACACTTTTGAATTTGCTTTACTGATATTTTATTGAGCAATTTTGCATCTGGGTTTATGAGAGATGTAAGTCTTTAGATTTTCTTTTTGGTGATGTATTTGGTTTTGGCATTAGGGTAATACAGCTGACTCTTGAACAACACAAGAGTTGAGGGTGCTGATCCTTAAACAGTCAAAAATTTTTGAATAACTTTTGACTCACCAAAACTTAACTACGAATAGCCCACTGTTACTGATAACATAAACAGTCAATTAAAACATATTTTATATTCTATGTTATATGTGTTATATACTGTGTTTTTACAATAAAGTAATCTAAGAAAAAGAAAAGATTGTTCAGAAAATCCAAAGGAAGAGAAAATTTGTGACTTTTCATTAAGTGGAAGTGGATCATCACAGAGGTCTTTATCCTCATCATTGTCATGTTGAGTAGGTTGAAAAGGAGAAAAAAGAGTTATTGGTCTTACTGTCTCAGGGCTAGCAGAGGTGGGAGAAGTGGAGGAGGTGGGAGAGGAGGCAGGAGAGGCTGGCACACTTGGTGTAACTTTATGGAAATACATCCTAATTTCTGTTCGACAGTTTTGCTTTTTATTTTTCTAAAAATATTTTTGGCTGGATGCAGTGGTTCACTCCTGTAATCCCAGCAGTTTAGGAGGTGGAGGCGGGTGGATCATTTGAGGTCAGGAGTTCTAAACCAGCCTGGGCAACATGGTGAAACCCTATCTCTACTAAAAATACAAAACTTAGCCAGGCATGGTGGCGGGCACCTGTTATCCCAGCCACTTGGAAGACTGAGGCAGGACAATCACTTGAGGTGGGGAGGTGGAGGTTGCAGTGAGCTGAGATCACGCCACTGCACTCCAGCCTAGGTGACAGAGCAAGACTCGGAAAAAAAAAAAAAGGCACAAAACATTCTACATGGTGCCCATTCTTTTCCCCCCGTTTGCTTTAGTTTCAGCATCAGGGTCTAAGCTGTAAAAGAAGTTAAAAGCTGTCTTGAATAATCAGAACACTTCTGCCAGATTGTCTCACGTTAGTTTGTTTTCTGGCCCTGCTTCTTCTACGTCATCTTCCTCATTGTCTAGCATTGGTTTGGAAGTGCTCATCTCCATCAAGTCATCTGTTAATTCCTCTTGTGTGGTGTCAATAAGCTCTTGAATTTCTCCATGATCCATATCTTGAAACCCTTCATACCCACCCAACCTTTTTTTTTTTTGCCAAATACAGACTTATTTTCATGATTTCCTTTATTGGTTCTGTCCTAAATCCTGTGAATTTTTCCATAGTGTTGACAATTTTTTTCTATAAACTATTTTTTATAAAGTCCTTATGACCCCTGATCTAGAGGCTGAAGTAGAGACTTTGTGTTTGAGGCAAATAGACCACTTAGATGCCTTTGCTGTTGAACTCATGGTGTTCTGGGTGGCCAGAGGCATTGTCCAATATCAAAAGAACTTTAAAAGACAGTCCCTTACTAACAAAATGCTTCCTGACTTCCGGGACAAAGCATAAATAGAAACAATCCAGAAAAAGGATTCTCATTGTCCAGGCCTTCCTCTTGTACAACCAAAAGACTGGCAGCTGGGGTTTATGTTTTCCCTTCAAGCCTGGGGTTAGCAGCTTTGTAGGTAAGGGCCATCCTGATCATAAACCTGACTGCATTTGCACAAAACAGTAGAGTTAGCTTATCCCTTCCTGCCTCAAATCCTGGTGTTCACTTCTCTTCTTTATTAATACATGTCCTTTGTGGCATTCTTTCCAGAATAGAGCACTTTTGTCTGTGTGTTCAAAACCTGTTCAGTCAGATATATTTTCTTCTCAGTGATTTTCTTAATGGCATCTGGAATGTGTCTGCTGCCTCTTAGTTTTCAGAAACTGCTTCTCCCGTTATCTTGACATTTTTTAAGCCAAAGCCTTTTTCTAAAATTATGAAACCATCCTTGCTGGCATTAAATTCTCCAGCTTAAGATTCGTCGTCTTCTTTTTTCTTTGTCATATAATGACTTTGCTTTTTCTCGAATCATGTTAGAGTCTATAGATATGCCTTTCTTACAGCAATCCTGCACCCACATAAAGGCTGCATTTTCAATATGCTATAAAAAGGGATTCCATTAAAAGTGCAAGGTTTTTGTGTTTGCTGGAATAGCTACAACAATGGCTTCACAAATTTTCTTTTTCATTTTTTATGATGGTCCTTACACGGGATTCCTTTATTTTGAAAGGGTGGCCATCTCAGCTGCAGACTTCAATCTACGGTACGTACCAAACAATTCAATGTTTTTCTTGTAGTGTCAGGACTTTTCTCTTCTTCTTGGGAGCACTTCCAGTATCACTAGTGACACTTTGTATGGGTCTCATGGTATTATTCAAGGTTTATGGTATTACACTAAGCCAGATGAAAAATACATGCAAGAACCATAAGAGGTCACTTTTTATGCAATTCAAAATTTACTGGAGAGAGGAACTGCTCACATGGCAGTTAATTAGCTTCACATGGCATATCAGGCCTCTACTGGCAACACTTGAGCTCAACACAAGAGCAACAAGAGGTGGCTACAAAATTATTACAGTAGTACAGCATGCGTAACTGTTAACTGTATGCAGTTATGATTTATTGCAGTATCTTTATGTTTGTTTACATTTCTCAGGACTGAAAATGGCACCATGTACAAGTCTGTGTTTGTGTGTGCATCTTGATAAATTTTAACTTTTTATAATAGACATGTGTAATTTTTATGGTAGTAAATGATAAAATAGACTAGTATCTACATACATTCTATACACTTATGACATACTCAACAATTCCTTAATCTTTTGGTGTTTCTAGGCTACTTGGTTCATCTGAGTTTTTTAAAGTGTCCCAAATCTCCAAAACATTTTTCAATGTATTTAATGAAAAAAATCTGCATATGAATGCAATTCAAATTCATGTTTTTCGTCAATTGTACTTTCCTCATACAATGAGTTAGAAAGCACTTCCTGTATTTCTCTTTTCTGAAACAGATTTCAGAAAATTTGTAGCATTTTTTCCTGAAATTTTGGTAGAATTCACCAGTGAACCCATCTGAGCTTGGTGCTTTCCATTTGTTGAAGTTCAATTTCTTTAGTAGATACAGGTCTATTCTAATTATCTATTTGTCTTTGTGTCAGTCTGAGTAGATTGTGTCCTTCAAAGACTTGGTCCGTTTTATCCAAATTATTAAATTTGTGGCCATAGAGTTGCTCATATTATCTTTATTGTTAATATAATGTCTATTATTATGTGTTTATTAATATTAACATTAATATAAATATTGTTTTTAATATTATGTCTTTATTATCCCATTAATATCTATGAAATCAGCAATAATGGCCCTTTTTATTTCTGATATTGATTATGCACTGTATGGCAATGTTTCAGTCAATGATGGACTATATATGTGACAGTGGTCTCATACTGTATTTTTACTGTAGCTTTTCTATGCTTAATGTATTTAGATAAACAAATACTTATCATTGTGTTACAGTTGTCACAGTATTCAGTAGAGTAACATGTTGTACAGGCTTGTATCAGAGAAGCAATGAGCTTTACCACATAGCCTAGATATGTAGTAGGCTGTGCTATCCAGGCTTGTGTAAGTGTGTGCACTCTATGATATTCACACAATAATAAAAGTGCCTAATGATGTATTTCTCAGAATGTATTCCCATTGTTAAGTGATGCATGTCTGTATTAGTAACTTGTGTCTTCTTCTTTTTCTCTTGGCTAGCCTGCTGAGGGTTTATCCATTTTATTGATCTTTTTGAGAAACTAGCTTTTGATTTCGTTGATTTTCTCTGTTGTTTTTCTGTTTTCAGTTTTATTGATTTCTGCTCTGAATTTTATTATTTATTTCCTTTTGTTTGCTTTGGATCTAATTTCCTCTTCTTTTTCTAGTTGCTTAATATGAAAGCTTTGATTATTGATTTTAGATGTTCCTTCTTTTCGAGTGCATTCAATGCCACAAATTTCCCTCTAATCACTGTTTGTGCTGCATCCTACAAGTGCAGATAGGTTGTATTTTCATTTTAATTTAGTTTTAAACTTTTTTAAAAATTTCCCTAGACTCTTGTTATTTGACCAATCTGCCCTTTAGTGTGTGTTGTGTAATCTCCAAATATTTTGGGATTTTTCCAGCTATATTCCTTTAATTGTTTCACTTTAATTCCATTGTGGTTATAGTATACTTTGATGTCTCTACTGTTACATTTGTTAAGGTGTGTTTTATTTCACAGAACGTGGTCTATTTTGGTGAAGGTACCATGAGGTTTAAGGAGAATGTGTACTCTACCATTGTTTATGATTACAAAAGAGAATATAAATATGTATTTAGTCTTTTCTTTCATTAATTGATTTCTTAAAATTGTATAAAATAATGTATATTTGGCAATTGCAGGGCAAATAAATGCAAAGGAATAAATGAAAACAACAAGAAACGGTAAAAGAAAGGTTAATGTAGCAAAACCTGTAAATGTACAGTGCTCTCCTTTCTTCTCTCAGCTTCTTTAGTAGATATAAAACTATATAAATAAAAATTATAACAATTTATTGTTGTGAGTGTAGAAGTGATATGTGTAACAATAATAGCATAAAATGTGAAAAGATGTAATAGAGCAGCACAAGGGAGACGTTGCTACCTCACTGAAATTTAGTTTCTATAAATCAGTCTTTAATTGCGTGCTGACTGCCGGATTGTTTCCCATAACGCCTTGTGGCTTACATTTCTCCAGTCTGACTTGATCAAATTTGGGCCCTTTTGCAGGAATAGTTTCACTGGCCAGCCTATGTAGTGTATTCTGATGCAAGGAAGGCTCTCCTTAGCTGCCTTTTCTCCTGGTTCACTATTGTGAACCAGATTGTTTTACAATTTAGCTTGTCACCTTCTAGGAGCTACCAGCCTCCTCTTAATTGTTTATCACCAAAATGTTCATTGTTTTCTAGAGCACCCTTGGGCTTAAGCTTCCCCATTCTCTTTTATGAAGTCTGTTATTCTGCGGAGAGATTCACAGTTTATGTCTTATGATCTACTACTTCCTTTGGGAAAAATCTCTAAGCCACTTAGGAGTTGGCCAATGGGCTGTTTCTCTCAGAGGAAGTATCCTGTTTTATGAAAGGGGTGCTGGGTGGGGGCCGTAGCCTCTGGTGGTGGCTAGTGTGGAACCACTGCCCTACAAGCTGGGACAAGGGCAGAAGAGACCCCCGGATTCTCAGCCTGCCATGCCTAAGGTGGAGCATTCACCTTTGGGTGGATCAGGACTGGGTGGAAAAGGAAGTCTCATAACTCTAGGCCACCCTTGCGTGGATTTTAGCCTCTGATAAACAGAGCGTGGTGGGGGATGGGAAATGCTGAAGATCTACCCGTACAGGGACTCTACGGTAGCCATTGACTGTGAACTACGGGGCAGGGGGAAGAGTTTCCTCTTCCTGACCATGTGTGCTAGATCAGAGCGTCCATCAGTCTGAGCTAGGGAATAGAGGGAAGGAGCAAGCTGTGGCTTCAGTGACACAGAGTCTCACTGTTATTACTGAGATGTATTAGATTTTTTTAAATGAATGTTTCATCACTTGCTGTGTGCCCTTAGGACAATTTCCAGAGACTTTAAATGGTGGTTGTTTTTATAATTTCCACTGTTTGTAGTGATTTCACTAGGGATCTATTCTGCAGATGTCCTCATGCTGCCATTCAGCATGTTAAATATTTTTATATTATAATTTTATATAATTCATTTCAAATAAATTAACAGGTAATGTTCTATTGTGTCCTTAAGCATAGTGACTTCTTCCCTTGTGGGTAGATGGCATGGGAAAGGCAGAGTTAGTGTTTAGGTGCCTTGAACAGCACAAATGCCTTCTGGGTTCCAGATTCAATGAGATTTTACTCCCTGACAAATAGTGTTAGCTTTCAGTTGTACACCTCCTTTAACATATCTGCTGATTGAGAAGTTGGGTAAAATTGTACTTCCTCAATGCCTGCTCTGTGTGGGCCATTACATGTCCCAACTATTTTGATATCCTTTGGTAAGTAAATAGGAGAACTAATCTATATATATGGTGAGATTTATCCTGGTAAGGGTGTTAGACAGTTTAGCCATATCTCATGTAAATCATAGAACACAGCTTCTCAAGTATTTCACTAAATCCCTAAATAATTCATTTCCAAATCCTTTGGTATTATTATTTTAATTTTTTATCTTGACTACTCACTATTCATCTTGGAGCATTATTAAACAAAATATCGCTTACAATAATAATAGCTAAACTCTTTCGCTCCACTCTTAAGTTACAAAACTGCAATAGAATTACAGGGAAAGTTCATGGTTTTTAGAAAAACGAAGTCCCCAGTACCCCCGCGGCTCCCGTAATTTTTCCCGAGACAAGTTATGACTGCAAAGCGCTATTTCTCCCAAAATGATCTCAATTATATGGCTCATTAAGAGGTGGGCATTTTGTCAATACAAAGATACTGTGCTTAAGCTACCCAATGCTTAATAGTGCTTCTTAACAGATATTCATTACACATTTACCAAATGAATTACCAAATGAATGAATAATCATTAACTAAAACTGCTTCAGTACAAGGAAGTAGAAAAGTATGGTATATGCATCTTAAAAACTTGGAGGTGGTTTTCTTGATATAATAAAGAGCAAACTGAAATAAACAAAGAACAGACTTCAATGATGCTTTCCTTTTGTGAAGCAAGAGTCTGACTGAGTAGTAAATGAAGGAAACCTAGAAAGACTCCACTCATATTCCAAGCTGACTGAAGAAAAACGTAATAGAAGTAGATGGAAGTGTCATCCAAAAGACCCCCAGGATGACTAAATAGCAGAAAATAGGGTTTTTTAGGTGATAACAGTTTGCAAACCAGGAAGAGAACGTCTCCATTGAGTACTAAAGGTGTTATCTCTTCAAAGAGGAAAGAGGCAGGTTGGTTTTTGCCTCACAGGGCTTCTATTACACAATAAGGTCATACATATTCAGCATGTTTGAGGGAAAAGCTATACATATTTATGAGGGGAGCTGAGCACATGTGCAATAGGTAAACATATATGTAACATACATTCCATGTTCACTTTAACGTGGGGTTTTGACACTAAAATGAGGTAGAATTTGGCTCTTTATGTTCAAAGAACTATAGGACACAAGGACAGTTTGTGCAAAGTCTCTATAAGCTGGCTAAACCTGGCTTAATGTCTGCAGTTGCTTATCAGGAAAGAATGCTTGTAAAGCCAGCGGCTGTTCAATCATAGCTATATTGTTCTGGGTTCAAAACCAGAGTTTGGAAGGGGCTGACAATTTTCCTAATAGCTCCTATCGTTAGGGAGCTTAGTAAAAGTGTGTTTTTTCTTGTAGCTATAGGAATTTAGGAAGTTGCCATGCCAGCCAGGGCATGAACCCTTGACCTGTAGGCAACTTCTGTTTTTGCAATTTTAGATTTCATAGTAGTTGATAAAGGGGCAACTATTTTGGTCTCTCAGATCAAAGAGACAATATATAAGTTTCACCAGTGCCTCCAGAGATCCACTGCACCACAGTGTAAGTGCAATGAATAATGGTGCAATGCATCCTCTGCTGTTCCTTAACAACTGGGCCCCTCAGGCACAACACGCCATTGCCTTAACTGGCCCTCCATCACAGCTACCATGCAGTCAAGGTTCGTAGGCACCGCTACCTGCAAAAAGCTCTGCTATGGCATCGAAATGTCTTTCTACAACTGTCTCCAAATCCAGACTTGACTATTCTCCAATTGATTCATCTTTAGGTTGCAGAATGTCTGTATTAGCAAAGTAAAAAAAGGATAAACCATTATAGTTTCCTACTCTATGGTAAACACAAGAAAAAAAATCCTAAATAAATGTAAAGACATTAAAGTAAAAATTAAGGTAACCACTAAGAAATTGTTGCCTATTACAAGCTAAATTTTGTGTTACCCTTTCCTCATTCGTATATTGAAGCCCTAACCCCCAATACCTCCAATGAAGATGTGGTCTTTAAAGAGGTGATTAAGTTAAATCAGGTTCTTAGGGTGGACTCTAATGCAATATAACTGGCATCCTTATAAGAAAAGGTGATTAGGACACAGACCCACACACAGAGGGATGTCCACGTAAAGACACAAGAAGATGGCCATATGCAAGCCAAGGAGAGAAGTCTCAGAGGAAACCAAAACTGCTGATACCTTGGTTTCTCAGCCGTAGCCTCTGGAGTTGTAAGAAAATACATTTCCATTGTTTTAGTCACCCAGTCTGTGGTATTTTGTTATGGCAGCCCTAGAAAACTAATATACTGCCAATGTTTGTCTTTGAAATAGAAGTACAAGTCTACAATCCTTGTTTTCAAAACTCTTGGGATCTAGTGTAATTTGCAGTTATTTATTTATTTTTTGTATTTTGGAATGTGTCTTATTTATTATGTAAAACTCCATCAGTGGACTGGGGTAATACCATGTAATCAAACTCATGAAGATTCTGCAGGGAAATGTATGACTACACACACTAAGGGGAAAATATACAATACAAATAGCTTCACATAAGCTCGGGTCAAGATTTGGTACCAAATAACTGGTCACAAACCAAGGCAGATAACCATGGATTGCCCTTCCACATTTTCTTTACCTCATTCCTGAAATAAATATTAGAATTGGGTAGGACCCCTTGATAAGGAGAGGTTGTCTATTGAGTAAATTATTTTATAAGGTGAATGTTTAATGGCATTTTGGTTTATTTTTTAGACTGCTTCTAAATGTCAAAATACCAGTCAGTACATCCTTGATATAGGTTACTTTGCTGATATGAAGCAATCTCAGTGATATGCCCCTCCTCCAAACCTGTGTATCTAGAAATACTAATACACCTTGACAAGGTGTACTCACCGAAACTTCAAGTGAAGTCAGGTTTTTAAACATTTCTCATTTACTGGTAGATTCAACCCTTTTTTTTTTTTTTTTTTTGGAGACAGAGTCTCTCTCTTTTGCCCAGGCTGGAGTACAATGGCATGATCTCAGCTCACTGCAGCCTCTGCCTCCTGGCTTCGAGCAATTCTTGTGCCTCAGCCTCCAGAGTAGCTGGCGTTACAGGCACCCACCACCACGCTGGGCTAATTTTTATATTTTTAGTAGAGATGGGGTTTCGCCATGTTGGCCGGGCTGGTCTTGAACTCCTGACCTCAGGTGATCCACCCACTTCGGCCTCCCAAAGTGTTGAGATTACAGGAGTGAGCCACCGCACGCAGCCTAGACTCAACTGTTTGTGTCTAGTTATCTTTGGTTAATTGTGGACTATAAGTTTTATTGTGATTTGATTTTTTTTAATGTTTGCTACCCTTATATTCTGAACATAAGACCAGAGATCAAGATTTCATGATAAGGCAGTAGGCATAGGATATTTAGTACCGACTGCCAGCATGTCTTGCCCAGTGAAAATACTTTCTTGTATTGACCACACATAGTCATTCACTGAAAGGAAAAGGAGTATGCAGGTTCTCATGAAGCAACAAGAATTCTCACCCAGCTCAAGTTCCTTCCAATTACCTTGTTGATATTGTAAATTGAGAGTGTAATTCTGACCATCAGGTTGCTGTCAGGGATTGTTTCTGGTAGGAGTTCCTGTGCACCATTGAAAACCCTGTGGATACAAACTCATGGAGATAGGTCAGAGTGCAGAAGTATCAGTGATCAGCCCTCCAGGGGCGACCAATCTACATTCTTTGATTGTTTTCACTCCCCACAATAAGAATTCCAGCCTTGGGAGGAAAAATATATATACAATGATCTGTCTCTTGGGAGGGGTCTGTGTTTCTAAGACAACAGTGTTTTAAATTAAATGCAGATTATCATACGGGGTTTAACAGTCGCCCTCCTCTCAAACCTCACATCCACAGGAATCTCAATATGTGATCTCATTTGGAAATTGTGTCTTTGCATCTCTAGTTAATTAAGGTTATTTTAGATTAGAATGGATGACTGCTATCCTTATAAAAGGGCGATGTCAAGACCCACACACAATGAGGAGGACAGCATGTGATGACACAGACAGAAATTAATCTGATTGAGCTACATGCCAAGGAAATCCAAGGATCGCTGGCAACCACCAGAAGCAAGAAGTGAGACAAAGAACAGGTTCTCCCTGAGTCCTCAGAAGGAAGCCACTCTGCCAACACCTTTGATTTCAGACTTCCAGCAGCCCGACCTGTGAAAGAAGACTTTGCTGTTGTTCTAAGCCATCCAGTTTGTGGAATTTTGTTAGGGCAGCTCTAGAGAGCCATAAATAATTTCATCCTACTCTATGGTAAGCACAGGGAAAAAAATGCTGAATGAATTTAAAGACATTAAAGTAAAAATTAAGGTAACCACTAAGGAATTATTGTCTATTAGGGGCTAAATTTTGTGTTACCGTTTTCTTATTCATATGTTGAAGTCCTAACCCCCAGTACCTTCAATGTATTTGAAAGTGTGGTCTTCAAAGAGGTGATTAAGTTAAATGGGGTTCTTAGGGTGAACTCTAAAGCAGTATAACTGGTGTTGGAAGAAGTATTCCAATCAATTTTCAACTAAAATATAGTGAAAGAGTCTTTGAGTCTTTATAGTTTCCAACAACGTTAGTTTATTAATAACTTTAGGACAATAAGAAAAATCTAGTCAATGAATTGTCTGCCTTCAGCTTTTGGGAGGAAAAATAAATAAATAAAAAAGTTCCTGGCTGTTATTTTCCCTGTACTCTTCACTGAGCAAAGTCTTGCCCTCATCTTAGTCTATTTCACTCTCTTGGTTCTCCCCTGGCCCACTAAATCCTGTTCTGCCTACCTTGGAGTTTTTTTATTTGTCTATCCAAAGATGCATAGTTAAAACAAATTCCAAAGGTTTAAAATATTTTAAAAGTCAGGTATTATGTTGTCTACATGTAGATGAAAGAAGGAGGTGGAGTACGTTTAATTTAGTATAACTGTCCCACGTGTTACTTGATCGATAAGGGAATTTTTACCAAAATAAGATTTTTTTTACAATAAATATAATATAAATGGCACTTTTTGCATTGAACTTGACAAAAAAGTTCTACTTTCTTTTCAAAATATTTAGAGTTTATTTTATGAGAAATTTTTAATATAGCTTCAAAAATGCATTGAGGGCAAGAAGGCACTAGCCAACCCAAGGGCCTATTTTCTGTGAATAAATTTTCAACACAAATTATGTGTGAACCTCAACACTAACTTTATCCTTCAGTACAAGTAATACAAACACAGTTTTCCATATGAAGATGCATTTATTACTAACTTGTGATTCAGTGTCATTTCCATGGATATGTGCTTTCAATAATTCTAGAGAGAATTCAGAGAAATTTAAAAAAATATTTAGCAGTTTTTCACTTTAATTTTCAATTGATTATGAATTTGCCTCTGCCTTACAGCTGATGATTATTTAAAATAATATTCAAGAGTCATATGTACTGGATTTAAGAATTGTTTCCCATATTCAGGTTGTTGCACACACAAGCCAGCTTTCATTTACAAATGCCTTCTGACAAAGCACGCAAGATATTAAAACGAAATATTGTCAAGAAGATGGAGTTTTGTTTTTGCTTTTTTTGTTGTTTTTTAGTTTGTGTTATTTGTTTTTTAGGGAGGATCCCAGAGCATATACCTCTTACCTCTTAAATGATGTAATTGAATTTTCAAGGAGCCAAATTTCAGATGAGGATGTTGCTATGATCAATAAAACGTTATTAATCGTTCCTGATTCAAAGCCTTATTAAACACAGGAATCCTCCGGTGGTTTTGTGGATAGCGTTACCCTTTTGAGAGTTATGAGGCAGTGGCAGCTCCGTCCCTCTGGAGCCTTTCTTGGCGTCCCCATCCTCTGAATGTGTGAATGAAGCACAATAGGCATTTGCCGTAATAATCTTCTTAGGTAAAGCCCACTGGCATTTCAGTAAATCAAACCGCAAACAAATTGCTCCAGAAAATTTGTGATCCTTCTGCTGAATGCAGGTTTTCATTTAAAGTAGGAAAGCAGTAAATTCGCATCATGCAATTGATCCACACTATGTTGGCTATTTCAACTGTACCTGTTACGAGTATAATTTAACTCTGCATGAACAGCATTTTGCCATGTTGTATATTACTAGTAACACAAAATTACAGTGTTGCTACATAAAAAGGAATATCCTGAAAAAGATAAACTTAGCAACACCTTCTATTTAAATTCCTGGCTTTAAACTAAAGTTTAGAAGCAGTCCCCACTTTCATAAGCAGGAACATGTGCTGGATAAGTATAAATGAAGGAAAAAAGGGACATATCAATTATACCAAGAACTATATCATGAGCCTTTTGTTCATTTGTGGATCTCTGAGCTGCGGCATTGGAGCCAGCCCATAGTTCTGGTATCTAAATGTGTGGCATGGGTTTAGCCTTTGGCTTTGCCTCAGGAAAAATCCTTTAACAGCTAAATCTATATAAAAATTCATACCTTTCAATTATCCCTGCCTGAGAATGGCTTTGCAGCAAGGTGCCCAAGATCAGAACAAGGTTAATGCATTTAACATTTTTCCAAAAAAATGGTTTTTAAGGATAGCTATGGGGAGGTGTCATGAGTTGCCTTCTTTTGACAGGCACGTCTCCAAGTAGCCTTCATATCTCAAACACCTACAACAAAGAAAGGTGATAACGCTCAGATGGGAAGATGCAAGTATGTGCTCTAGAAGTAGACAGTCATGTCTTTTCTTCAGGAATTTTAATTGCAAAATTGTAAGAAAATATTAAGACTACTGGTGATAAATTAGAGTTTCTGTTGTTTTGCCTTTTTATATGTAAGGATTTATGAAATTGAATTCTGAGAATAAAGCTGTGTTATATTATTATAATGGCATTTCTCTCTTGGAGCTGGGAGCTTAAGGAAATACTACACGGATAACAATAATATGCCAAATATTCACATTTTTGCATAGCTTTAAATATATTTTTTTGTTTACAGTCTTTGGTAACATACATAAAACCTGTATTGTTCACAACATATACTCTGTATAAATAATAAAGCACAAGTTTGTGTGACAAAGACTTATAAGGGGAAACAAAGAGAAAACACCACGGGGTCCAATTTTAAACTTGCTGTTGGTGATAGTTAGAAGTCATTGAACATCTAGCACAAGATATGAAGGTCACTGCATATAACCTAGAAATCTACTGCATCGTTGTTCTATGCTGTGAAGTAGAAATACTGAGAGAAACAAAATTATAAAACTTTGAAACTTTATGTCAACAGAGGAATGCTCTTTGTGCCTTAAACACAAATTTTTTTCTACCCTAACCCTAGGAAAATATCCAAATATTGAATGTTTCCAGGGCAGTTTGGGGCCAGTGTAAATGTAGTCTTAAAAGTAAAACAATAGCAACAACAAAAATAACAAAAGACCTTAGGCATGGCCACCTAAGTTTCCAATGTAGAATCCAAAGCTGAGCAAGATTCACCAAGCCGTGTCCTCACCATCACTTTTGTAAACCAGAATGTAAATCAGGCAAGAAATTTACAACAGAGAAATCATTTAAATGTCTAGTTCTTGTAGTAAAAGATCTTATGGGAGTATGAGATCATCAGCTTAGTATAATCAGATTTGTTAATTATGTGTTGATTTTGTGTTTATTCATTTTTTGCTCATTTCTTTATATCTCCTTATCTCTACTCTCCTAGTGATCACGTGAGTATTAATCAAAGTTTAGTATTAGTAACTGTTATAAATCATGTAATCTTAATAATGACTAGGTGTAGAGCTAGGTATACCCTCTTTAAGTGTATCATTTTACATCCACAAATAATAAAATCCCAGAAATGTAAAATATCTACTCTATAAAATTATTTTATCAAGAGACATGCTCCACTTTCACACAGTTCACAAAGCAAAGGTTTGGTTAAATGAGGTATTTAATATTAATCTTTTTAAACCGGTCATGATATTCAACAAAGTGTATATTTTATACTATACCGAAAAACTGAAAATCTGACAAAAATTTTCCACTCTGGAAAGGATTATATATAAATACTTGAATAAAATTAAGAGCATATATGTGTGAAGTAGTTGTGTGTATGTGTGTGTGTGTGTATTGGGAGGATGTGTGTGTGTGTATTGGGAGGATGTGTGTGTGTGTGTATGTGTGTGTGTGTATTGGACTAGCAATATGATGGCCCATGATCTTCTTCTAGTTGAATGACTTTGTATGAACATTTACTTTCCGTTTGGGTCATATTTTAAATCTAAGAAATGGGGACACCAACATGGGCCTTAGTGGCCTCACAAAGTCCTCATGATCTGAGGTATGTGAATGCACAGTGAAAATTATAAAGTGATTTACAATTAATTAGCTGCTTTTAGAACCTGATATTAAAAAGATAGATGGAGAGTATTAATGAAAAGAGAGAGGGAGAGTTAACCAAAACACTCCACCTGATTTAATTGTGTTTTTCACAATATTAAACTGGTCAGAGGTGGCAATCTCTGTCAATGGGTTGCTACCTAATAACAAATAAATTATCTAGCTGGTTTTTCCCCTAAATTGACTGAAAAGATGAGTTGTTTTGGCAATATGTAAACACAGCCAGAGAGAAATTTAACCTTCCCTAACCTCCATTATCTATCTGAATTTGAAACCAAATGCAGATGGAGAACTCATTATTGTAGTGACAACCTCGGTTGTAATTAAAAAACATGGGATCTATCGCTAAAAGAGGAATATAGCAAAGGGCAAGGAAAGGTCTGGCCCTTTTCATGCATTATCTCCAGGCTTCTTACCACGAAAATGTCTCAGCTGTTTGGAGCAGATATATTGACCTATGACTGACTAGCTAATACAACTATGACAGAAATTTTTAAGTGCTATTAATTAGCCACTGGAGTACAATAGTCAAAAGGTGAACACTGGAATGCCAGGATATCTGTGGCTTCCTCTTACAAAACTGCATCAACTTCAGCGTGCTCTGTTAATGGATACGTTTGCACCAATGCAATATGACTGCATTAAATCCATGGTGCCACCTTTTTGTTTGGTTTTGTTTGCTTTTTGCTGCTTGAATGTATCTACTGAGCTGACATTCAAATAATAGAGGCTTTATATCTCATTTTGTTGCCCAGCTGATTAGCCAAAATCTCATCCCTTTCACTTATATTTTCTTGGTGCTGAATGACAATTTCAGACTGGGCATCAGAGTTTTTAGTAGAAGGATGCGGTGGAGTACGTTTTATAACAGATAACCTGGATACAAAAACAAACACCAAGTGAAAAAATATTTTTTAAAAACTGTTAGGTTTATTTTGAAATAAAAACTAGGACAGAATACAGACATAAAGGAAAACAGTAAAATCAACAGAAAAATAAACTCTATTGTACTGAATTTCTCTATCTTGCAGTCTTTGCTCTATCAGATTCAAAATCCCCCAAATAAGTAATTTTTTAACAGTATATGCTACAGGTCCCCTATAATATCAAATCCTCTAATTTATCTGCTTTGTTTACACAGGACATATCATTTGTATCTACTTAAAACTTGTAAGCAACAGTCATAGAAATTAATTACATTCCCTCGCTCTTAAAATGACATTTTAAATTCACCTTTGTACAAGTTGGATTTTGGTGCAATGTGGACACTATCTTATGCCTCATCTTCATATGCTTCTCATTTTCCCTGTTGAATGGTAATTCCAGGATCCAGATGCCAAACTGCGAAAATATTCTTCCAGCAGCAGCATATGGTTCCTTGGCAAGCTTATCTAGCATCTGTACAAAAAGCTTATAGTTTCCTCTGGGTATGTAATAGTTCTGCTTGCTAAGAGGCTATTTGTGCAGTCTTTTTCTCACAGACACCATTTCTCTTGACAAACCTTTGGTTCTAAGCAAATTTTGTACATTTTTTGTCCATTTGAGAATCAATGATATACATAAGCTTGCTTTATAACCAGGTAGCTATCCAAATATTCTCACTCTATGACCAGGGGGTGTATCTGGCACTGACACAAATTGGTTTAAATATAATAAGAGTTTATTTAGCTACCTTGATAAGCAACATTTTGATACTAATAAAATATGAAGACTATCTACATTTTGGTAGCTATTTGCAATGATTATCAAGGTCAAGAGGAAGAGCATTTGAAATGAAAGCTGCACAAGGTAGCAATATTTGAAAGCGTATACTGGTGCTCAGCATTCACACTGTTGTAAATGGTTTGTGTGATGTGTAGTTACTCATATGTAACTTTTCCCTCACTGGAAATTCAGCTTCTGCACAGCTGTTCACAGGGATCCCCTGGTGGCATATAGTACCAGTTTCTGCAGCACTATTACTGTGGGGAACAGTTTCATTGGTCACCATTGTATCTAAGTACTAAAAACAACTGTTCTGCTAGAATTAGAGATTGTTTTATACTGAAGAATTTATCAGTTAACTTACGGCAGATTAAAAACCAAATCTTTTGTGGCTTCTTATAGTCTTCATATCCTATTACTCTTAAGTTCTGGGGTATCTTCTAGGAAAAAAGTGACAAAATTTGCGAAAAGAAAATATCTTCCAACAAGATTCATTTTCCCTGTTGAAAAGCTAAGGCACAGCAAAATGTATCAAAACATATCAATATCTAAGCCCTTATACTACGTATGTGGCGTTTCTGGAAACTAGCATTCTTGGTAGTCCGTGTCTTCATTGCATAGTATTTTTAAGACTGTCTCCTAAAATGGGGCATCAGGAATAGAGAAGTGAAGCATATTATTATGTATATGATCTCCTCATGGATGATTACATGATCTGAGATTTCTGGCTAACATTTTAATGAACTTGAGAGAAAAGTAAAAGGAGATTGATTGATAGATAAAGCTATATTAAAAGATGCCATGCACATGTATCTTGAATACTTTTAAAACAGAATAGTATTACTGACACAATATTTTACAGAGATCATTCAAAATAAGTGAAGAATTCCTTAGTCAGGCAAGCAGAAATGAATTTAAACAAAGTTAAACAGGTTTATTTACTGGAGGACATCCTACGGCCTCCAGGATACTGATGTGCATTTACCTAAAGGAGGATATGTTCCACTCACACCCTTAAAATTGGACTTTTTCTTTTTTAGCAATTTTACTGGAATGATGTTGTACAAAACGCATTTTGAAAAGGTCTAAATCTGCATTTTAAAAATAAATTATACAATATGATTATGTCGGCAGCTTTAAAAACTCCAAAATAAGAGATCTATGACAAAATGCACTTAATACAAATAATATGGGAGAATCCTTATGTAAATGTAGCATATTAAAGAATTTTAGAAACCTTAGAGTAAAAAACAACTCTAATGATACGAGGGCACTATGGTGAACTAGATGATTGATGTCAAAAATTTACACCTTCCAGTTCCAAAGATAGATACATACTGGGTACTATGAAACAAAGACGTTGTTTAATATGTAAAATAACTGAAAGAGAAGAGAAGGAAATCCCAATATGTGGATGTGAGCATTAAGCACCTAAAAGAGATGGGAAAAAAATAGTCCACGGGGGTTTGCAAAGCCAGATATGGGTAGAAGTGGATATTTTAGCTGATTTAATTTTTGTTTTTTATTATTAGTTTATTTCAGCTTTCAAATTATTCTTGAGTAAAATTTTACTAATGCATAATTTTCTTTTAAATATTGTCTATTTATATTCGAGTTTGCACATTCATTAGTACAAATTTATTCAAATATTCAATTTTGATGTTTTAAAATCTACATTAGGATGAATAATTTGGAGACAGTATAAATTCACTGAAAAACTTTGAATGGGCTTGGCAAAAATGTCCTGGTTCTAAAGATTAACTCTGAGAAAATAGGCAATTGAAACATGTCCTCAAACTGTAGCGACAATTTGAAATAGTATTTCAGAAGGGTTGGACTGGTAAGAAGAAGTTGAGACATCATTTTCTATCTTATAGTTTAGGGATTAAAAGTCAGAGAAAACTGGAATTGTACTTAAGGAATTAGGAGCAAGGGAGGGAAAATTTCTCAGAGTTTTAGTTCTTGTGACTAGGCCTAGTGGAGCCAAAACGTACTAGGTAGGGCTCTAATCTAAACTTATCTGAATCCTTCGTGGTGACCAAAGTATAACCAATATCCAGCCTGATAGGCAGGGAAGTTGGCAAGGGTGGAGAAGGAGATCACAGACCGAGACCGGCTACCAGCGGCAATATTGTGCCAAAGAGCATGTGAACTAGAGTAAAATTTTGGTTTCAAATCTCAGCCCCTGCGTGCATACACACATCTGTGGGACCTTAATCAAGTGTGTCTTCCTTTCTAAATTTGAGTTCAGGCTTCATAAAATGGAGATAATAATTCAGCCTTGTGAGGTTGTTGTAAAGAGTAAATTAGATGATGCATGTGAAGTTCTTGTCAAGGACATAGAAAATGTTAAATAAGTATGAAGATTATTGTTATTATTAGCATTATTTGTAGTCTGAAAACCACCTAATGCTAGCTCTCAGCAACTGAGGGCACAGTAGAGAAAGAAGCAGCAATGGATTCTATTAATACATGTTGTAATACTGCAACATTTGGTTTCTATAAATGAACCCAATTTCAATAAACCTAGGAAGACATAGGTTCAAGAAAAAAAGAAAGGAAGCAATGCAGATGACTTTTCCTTTATGCCCTGAGTGGCCCAAGATATGCCAACATTGAGGCCAATAAAAAAACTGTGCCTAATGATTTTGAAGGAAATTAAAAAAAAAAAAAGGATTTAAAAATTTTTGGCTCAAAGCATCAAAATCAAAATCTTTAGGATAATTTGCGATAATAACTTATTTCCATTTCATCATGATTTCATCTACAAAAGGAAAAGGCAGTCTGCCAAATAAAATATAATGATTTCTCAGGCTATTGTTTGTTAGTACTTAAGTGGTATAAAATTCCAATATCATAGATGGATAATTGATAATAGATATGTAGATAATAACAAAAATGCCTAGCTGTGTAGGCAACTGTATTACTCTGTTCTCACACTGCTAATAAAGACATACCTGAGACTGGGTAATTTATAAAGGAAAGAGGTTTAATTGACTCATGGTTCCACATGGCTAGGGGGTGCCTCACAGTCATGGCAGAAGGCAAAAGAAGAGCAAAGTCATGTCTTACATGGCAGCAGGCAAGAGAGAGCTTGTGCAGGGGAACTCCCATTTATAAAACCATCAGATCTCTTGAGACTATTCAATACCATGAGAAAAAGTATGGGGAAAATTGCCTCCATAATCCAATTATTTCCACTGGGCCCCACCCTAGACACATGAGAATTATTATACTTCAAGGTGAGATTTGGGTGGGGACACAGCCAAACCAATTCAGCAACCAATAGTTTGGACAATCAGGCTCAATAAGCATATATCTCTTTGTTAATTCATCCTCACTCTTGAGGCAGACACTGTGCTGTTTAATTCTTTAGTTTGCCCAGATTACCCACGAGGGATGAGAGTAGAGACTCTTGGTTGTCAACCTAATATTCACTGCCTTTTTCTTCTAGCCCAATGATTAATGATAATAATAATAATAATGATAATAATTAACTACTATTCAGTTATTCTTTGTCATTTTGTCCATATACTTCAGTATGCCTAGCTCCATTCTCAGTGGTGTAGATTCTGAATATTCAATAAGGTCTAATCATTTCACAATATAATTTATATTAATTTACTGTTTGCTGTCTAAAGAGGCAAGCTTATGATCATTCTACTTCAGTTTTCAAAATTTTAAAAATGTTGGTCATATCTACCTTCTGAACCTTCATTTGTTTTTTTTCTGTTTCTTTTAGTTTATTTTTATTCCAGATTCTCTTTTATTTTTCATTTGCCTTTGACTGGTTTCATTTTCTGGATCTGTGAGAACTTTTTGAGAAAGACTAACCTGTATTGTGCAGTACTGATAAGTGGTTGTGTTTTGTTTAATTTCTAATTGTAGTAAAATGTACACAACATAATATTTTCTTTTTTTTTTTTCTTTCTCTCTTTTTTTTTTTTTTTTTTTTTGAGACAGAGTCTTACTCTGTTGCCCAGGCTGGAGTGCAGTGGCATGATCTCGGCTCACTGCAACCTCCGCCTCTGAGGTTCAAGCAATTTTCGTGCCTCAGCCTCCTGAGTAGCTGTGATTACAGGCACCTAACCACCATGCCTGGCTAATTTTTGTATTTTTAGTAGAGACAGTTTTGCCATATTGGCCAGGCTGGTCTTGAACATTTTCTATCTTAAACATTTTTAAGTGCACAGTTCGGAAGTGTTAAGTACATTCACATTGTCGCAGAATTGATCTCTCGAACTTCTTCCATCTTGCAAAGTTGCAATTCTATACCCATTGAACAACTCCACATTTGACCTTCTCCCCAGCCACTGGCAACAACCATACACTACAGTTTGCAACAGGCAGAATTTTAGTATTATTTATCTTTCTAGTTTTATTCCCAAGATATCTGGTATTTATTGGTCTTTTAAGGCAAAAAAAAATCTATTAATATTTGGCTATGATAGACTGGCAACAGTTCTTGGAATCACAGATTATTTTTGTAAGTTGTAAATTTTAGCTTAATATACATAACTTCAGAAATGTGTTTTATGGAATTTCTGGCCCTTGGACAATTCGAATAAGAATTATCAGGGTGATTGTAAGACGTGTAGATGTTTAGCTGTATCCCAAGTCAATTATAACAGAAATGTCTGTACAATCTATTTTCTCCCTGGTGAAGCTCAACAATATGCAAGTTTATTAATAGTACCAGATAATTCTTAAGCAAATTAAAATGTGATCATTTTACTACTTTATTTACTTTCACTATTTACTATTTATTTACTTCACTGTTTTATTACTATGTATTTCAACAGTCCATATTCTACTATTAAACATACGATTAACCCAACAAACTTCTCCCCATAATATTGTTTCACCCATAAGTTTGAAAGGGGGACATTGAAGCTTGGAGTAAAATAACCTGGATCCAGATCCAAGCCTTGGCAGGTGAAGCTCCT